>NC_000015.10:92047338-92198853 GCF_000001405.40 Homo sapiens
TATATACAAATATATATATAATATATAAATATATATACAAATATATATATAATATATAAATATATATACAAATATATATATAATATATAAATATATATACAAATATATAATATATAAATATATATAATATATAAATATATATAAATATATATATAAATATATATAAATATATATAAATACATAAATAAATATATAAATATATATAATATATAAATATATAAATATATATATAAATATATATATAATATATATATAATATATAATATATATATAATATATAAATATATATATAAATATATAAATATATATATCTGTAGGTTATACAGTTAACTTGGTGTTTTTGGCCCCACTGTTTAAAATGGCAAAACCTGTGTCATTCAAAACCTATGTGATTCGAATCGTTCATCCTTTACATCTTTTGAAGTCCAGAATGTGTTCATCGGTTTGTAATCAGCCTAGTTATGGGCTTGAGCCTCTTCCTGCTCAGCCTCAGGTCCTCCCACCACCAGCTGCAGTTTCAGTCCCATCCAGGCCTGAGTCCATCTTTCTCAAGCCAGGCAATGTACCGGGCACTTCATCTGAGCAACGGATGCCCAGAACCTTGGATCTCGAGAGCTGAGGTTGGGTGCCCAGGACAGTGATGTTCTCACTGAACTACAGGGTCTGCTGTTGCCTCTCTCTGCCCCTAATAGACCACAGCCATTTGCCTGGAGTCCTGGACTGCCACCTTGTTAGCTTTTGACAGTCACTTCTCCATAGGAACTGCTTCTCTGCTCTGTCCCTGAGTGGCATCTAGAATCTGTTTAAACTGCCTCAGACCTCCCCAGAACCCCAGTATCTCATTGTAGCACCCACATTTTACTATTGCCTGGACTTATTCTGCCATCCCTACCCCAAACATCAGTCCAGGGACCTGGCACCCACTTCTGATAGAGGTGAGTTTGCTGTACCCCCATCGGACTCTGAAATTGTGCTGCCGTCCCTCTCTCTCCTCTCCTGGGGAAGTCCCAGAAGCTCCCCAGTCCTGCTGCTATGAAATGTGGTCGTGTTGTCACTGGGAAGGAGTCCCCAACCTAGTTGACTGCAATAATCCAGACTTCCTAGTACAGTGTCTCATCCTCAGCAGCACTGACATTCAGACCAGATCGTTGTTGCTTGGAAGTGACCTGTGTAGAATGTTTAGCAGTGTCCCTGGCCTCTACTCACTGGATTCTAGTAGCAGCCCCCTACCATGTAACCACCAAAAATGTCTCCAGATATGTCACATGTCTGCTGGGGAGGTAACCCGTCCTCTCCCTGCATTAGGAACCACTGCTTTGGGAGGCCGAGGTGTGCGGATCACCAGAGGTCAGGAGTTCGAGACCAGCCTGGCCAACATGGTGAAACCCCATCTCTACTAAAAATACAAAAATTAGCCAGGCTAGTGGCGGGCACCTGTAATCCCAGCTCCTCGGGAGGCTGAGGTAGGAGAATTGCTTGAACCCGGAAGGCGGAGGTTGCAGTGAGCCGAGATCACGCCATTGCACCACTGCTTTAGAGCATTTGTGCATTCAGCAGTTTCTTTATTGTTGTGAAGCAGGTTCTTTCACCAATGGTGACTCACTGAATGCTCACATAACTCCATGAAATGATTGGCTTTAGCCCCATTTTACAGATGAGGCAGCCAAAGCCTGGAGAGGTTATATGTGAAAGGATAACACAGGAAGTGCCAGGACCAAGATTTGATTCCAGGCTGGTCTGACGTCAAAACCCATGATCTTAGAGATGAGTGGTTACAAGGAAAAGACACCCATTGATAGGGTTTATTTTAAGGGTACAGTTGGATAGTTTACAGGCAGGTCGTGCCTGCATCTTTCTGCACAGTGGCTTCTCCTCCTGGCCTCTGCTACCCTCCCTGCTTTAGCTTCGGTGCCAGCCCCAGCCCCCAACCTTATTAAAGTCTCTTAGTCTCTGTGTCTGAAATCCAGATTCCCAGGAAAAAAACTATGTGATTGGCTCAGCTCGGGTGAGTGATTTGCTCAAGGTTCAATAAGCGGTGTGTGTTCAGGGTGGGTTTGGTGACGGAAGGAAGTGACTGGTTTCTCCAGTACCCCCAAGCTCTTGCAACTGACCCTAAGCTACCATTGCCCTGCTGTCACCATGGCAACGGAGGCCAATTCTGCCCAACACCTTGGGACAAAGATTTTACCAACCAGTGCCTAGGCCACAGCATCCTACAAAGTGAAACCACTGGAGATGTGGGCAGACACATCTGTTTCTTCCATTTAGCAAACAAGTGGAGCTAGATCAGCCCCCCAGAAATCGATCTTTACCAAGACTTAATGAAGAGTTAGCTAGTTAATAGCCCATGACAAATCCAAACGCTGTTAGAGGTCTGACAACCTAGATATTAACAGCAGCAGTGGCCAGTTTCCAAGAGATTACTGACATTTAGGGCCATTCAGGAAGACATCTGGGAGGAAATAGTCATGGAATTGTTTAAGGCCCAGCTAGGGAGGCGGGGAGGAAAAGAAGACTCGACAGCTTTGTAATGTACAGTGACACTGGCACCTCTTAGCAAGAGCACAAGTTGCTCGTGAGCTTTTTAATCACAGAAGAGTTCAGAACCTGAAGGAGCAGCAAATGTCAGCGGAATTTCTTCCAGCTTAAAATGAATCCAGCAGGCCCCTAGATGCCCAGAACCCTAGTGCTGTCTGAGATGTTTCCAGGGGTCATTGCCTCATGACCGGGTGACCAATAGTCAATGCTCCTGATCACTAAGCTGCACACTTAGGTGACTGTCACAAACAAATAAGCATGGCCTTTAGCTTCTGGTCTTGTGGACTTTTTCTGGTGATGCTGCCTCTGCTCTCTGCTTCGAAGGTGTTAGCACCTGTGGCCTTTTCAGTGCCTTCAGCAGGTGTGGATAGTGCACCTCTGTGGGCTGGGCACTCTGCCCTTGAGGAGTCGCCAGCCACAGAGGGATGGCTTGTTTGAGACCAGGCAGATGACAAGGCAATTTATTGCAAGCTTTAAGAAGAGTGGAAACAAACACACCTAGGGAACACATTTTCAGACTTGTCTGAGCAGATGCGATGTTGTCACAGAGTCCCTGCACACGGAGGCACGGTGCCACCATCCAGAGATTCAGGAAATGCCTCCTGCTCTCTGGGAATGCACACTGGTATGGTCGGAAGTGGATACAAGCCCTTGCCCTCATTACCCACATCTTACGTGTCAGTAAATGCTCTCAGCTCTGTCTCCAAATTACACCCCAACCCATTACATCTCTATCTTCTGTCCACTGTGCTAGTCCTGGCCACTATCACTACCACCAACCATATCATGTGTCCACTCTGTAAGCCATTACTCACTCAGCAACCAGAATCATCTTTTAGGTCACGTCCCTGCTTAAAATGTTTTGGTGGCTTCCTGTTCCACATAGGATAGAACCCTGACTGCTTATCACAACTGGGAGAGCCTGCCTTCCTCTTCAGCCTGTGTCTTGCTATGCTGTTACGGCTCGGGATGATGTAGCCTCCTGGCCCCTCTTGCTATTCCTCACATCCATCAAACTCACTCCCACTTAAGACTTTCACGCATGCTTTTCCCTCCACAGGTGACACTCAGCCTTCAGACATAGTCTTCTTGTCTCTCAGGCCCCAGCCCAAATCCACCTTCTTAGAGCAGACTTCTCTGACCCATCCAAAGTTGCCTTCTGCCCCACGTCACTCTGTCACATACACCTGTTGTGTTTTCTCCATAGTATTATTACCTACAATTTTCTTGTGTTTTTCTCTTACTATGATAGAGGTGCAAATAATCAGGGGAATTAAGTAAGGCATATAGTATGCTCAGGGTCCACAGTGAGGTGAAGGCTTCAGGGCAGTGGTAACATTTGAGCTGGAACTTGAAACAGGTGTGATTTGCCAGGTCAAGAGGTGGATGGAGAGATTTCATCAGAGGCAACAGCATGTGTGAGGGCCCAGAGGCTAGGGAATGTGTCACCCTTAGGGAACAGCTTTGGGACAGCATCCCTGTAGCCTGGACTGCATAGGAAGGCAGAGCAAGAGTGGCTGGGGGCATTTAGACTTCATCTTGTGGGCAGTTGGAATCATCAGTGCACAGGGAGGGATTCACTAGACCTCATGGATTTGCTCAATGGAACCAAATAGGGTTTGAAAGTGTAATTGAGGGGTTTTTTGATTTGGAATATTTTTATTCCAATTTTATTAGGAGCCAAGCCTGGAGAGGGAGGGAGAGTGTGCTAAGACCAGGAGCTTCAGTTTGGAGTACGAATCAAGGAGGGGCTTTGGAGCATGAGAGCTTGTCTTCTGATCCCATCGTGAAATGAACAGCTACGTGACCGTCTTGTGTGTGCTAGGTTCGTGCTTGTATCTGAGAGATGAGAAATGGCAGAAGGAACAGCCGTGAAATCAGCAGATTAACTCTTCAAAGAAGACACTTACATTTTCCATTGATGGCCTCCTCCCTCTCCTTTTAGTTCAAGCTGGACAGAAACAAAAGTGCTGCGTGATGAGGGTTAGATGCTCTTTGTAATTCTACAGCAATGAGTCTTCTTTTTAAAACACCCAGATGTCAGTACTATTTTGGGCAGATGTACTGGGGAGCAGTTGGTGATGACCTCACGAGGCTGTGACTTTAAAGACCAAATGACACAGCTTTTGAGTAAAGCAGGCTCCGGTCTCCTAATCCCCGGGCTCCAGGGTTCTCGAATTCAGAGCAAAAGTGGTACTCCACACTGCCCGTGTCCCTGCTCATCGCCATATCCCCAACCCCTCCTTGCCCCAAGCTGCTGAGTGTGCACAGAACTTGTGTGGTTGGTCTGGGGCTCTAAGACAAGTTTCCTTGGACAGACAGCCTGTACTCAGCTGGGTGTCCATGCTCCTGTCATCCACCTTGAGATGGGGTCAGCATTGTATCAAGTTCTCTCTCTCCACTTTGAGCCTCTGTTCCCTTATCTCAGGAAAGAGGGTGAGCAATACCTACCTGGAGACACTGGAAGACAGATTGGCCTTTTGCATTCTGTAAGGGATCATATGAATGTTCATTATTATGACTTCTGGCTTCCAGAGCATAAATCCTAGACTCACCTGGGTAAGAACTAGATAGGACCTCAGGGTTCATCCAGTCCAAATGCCAGGCTAGGGAAAGAGTTCTTTCTCAGCAGTTTCCAGCAAGCAGTGACCAGCCTCAGATTGGATACCTTCAGTCACAGGGAGATCGCTCTTCCCAAGGTTCTTTATTCCAGCCACATATACACAGGATTCAGTGTTAAAATGCATTCCCTTATATGCAGCCTGGCTCCATGTAATTTCCAAGTTCTTGTCTTTCCCTCTAGAGCTGTGCTGTCCCAGATAGTAGCCACTCTGCATGTGGCTGCTGAGCACTTGAAATGTGGCCAGTCCACACTGAGATGTACTACAAATGTAAAATTTATACATAGGCATAAGTACATTTTATATTTATATAAATACATTTTAATTTTTTTTTTCCTTTTACAGGTTGAAAGGATAATATTTTGGCTACGTTAAGTTAAATAAAATGTTGTTAGAATCAATTTTACCTGTTTCCTTTTACTTTTATATTGTGGCTACTAGAAAAATTTAAATTATATAGGTGACCCACATTATACTTTTGCTGGACAGTGCGGCTCTAGAACTTTCCAAAATAAACTAGATCCAGCCCTTTTATCTAACAGCCCTTCAGATGTTTTAAGGCATGTATCTTATGCCCCTAAGTTTTTCTGGACATTTATTCACAAGTCTTCATTGAGTGCCTGCTATGTGCCAGGCACCGTGTAGATGCTGAGGTGGGATGGGATGATGAGCAGGACCAGCACAGTCTTCTCACTCCTGGGGTTACAGTTTGATGGGGAGATAGACATCAATCACAGCCTCACAAGCAGGACTGTGCTTCCAGATGTGGCTTCTTGGAGCCCCCTTTTTATAATACACTTTTTATTTGACAATAGATTTACAGAAGAGTTCTGAGGATAGCACAGAGAGTTCCCACAGACCCCACATCCAGTTTCCACCATGATTAACATCTTACATTAATATGGAACATTTGTCACAACCGATGACCAGTATCAATACATTGCGATCATCTGAGGTCCACATTTTATTCAGATGCGTGTAGTTTTTCGCTAATATCATCTGTTCTGTCCCAGGATCCCATCCGGGACATCGCATTACATTGAGTCATCATGGCTCCTTTGGCTCCTCTTGGCTGTGACAGCTCGTCAGACTTTTCTTCTTTCTGATGCCCTTGACAGCGTTGAGGAGTACTGGTTAGGGGTTTTGTAGAAGCTCCCTCAGTTGTGATTTTATGTTTTGTTTTTTTGTTTGTTTGTTTGTTTTTTTTTTTTTTACTTCTCATGGTTAAACTGGGGTTATGGGTTTGGAAGAGGAAGGACACAGAGGTAAATTGTCATTCTCATCCCATCATATCAAGGGCACATACAATCAGTAGGACTTATCACTGGGGGTATTGGCTGAGGGAGTGTTTGTCAGGTTTCTCCATTGGGAAGCTGCCCTCTTTTCCTCTTTGTCTGCTGTTTGGCAGGAAGTCACGGTGTGCAGCCCACACTTACAGAGTAGGAGTTGGGCTCCACCTCCTTGAGAGTGGCACATCTACATAAATTATTTGGAATTCTTCTGCATGGGAGGCTTGTCTGTTCTCACCATCCGTTTATTCAGTTATTGATTCTGTCAGTATAGACGCATGGAAATCTATATTTTGATTTACAATCCAGTACTGCTATGTTTTGTTCCTCAAGGCATTCCAGCTTTGGCCACTGGGGGCTCCTTCAGTTGGCTGCTGTGTCCCTTTGACGTACCCCATCGATGTTCATTTTCCAGCAACTTTTTACTTTCTGGCTCTATGAGATGCTCTAGACTCATGCTGTATTAAAATGGGGATGCTTTTGTGCCTGTCTTGTGGAGCTGTCCTAAAAATTGAATGATTTACTGCAAGTAATGCTTATTTCCCTGCACACTTCTATGTTTGTTTGTTTGTTTTAACAGTTGTAGCACCACAGTGAATCTTTAGTCAAGCAAAAAATGATCCCAAGTCTTTTTTCACTGAAATGCTTTTTAAGTCAAAGCCCTCTATTATTGTTTTTTTCAGTTCTGGGATACATGTGCATGATGTGCAGGTTTGTTATATAGGGAAACATGTGCCATGGTGGTTTGCTGCACCTGTCAACCCATCCCCTAGGTATTAAGCCCCATATGCATTAGCTATCCTGATGCTCTCCCTCCACCCACCCCCGCCCACAGGCCCCAGGGTGTGTTGTTCCCCTCCCTGTGTCCATGTGTTCTCATTGTTCAGCTCCCATTATGAGTGAGAATATGTGGTATTTGGTTTTCTGTTCCTGCATTAGTTTGCTAAGCATAATGGCTTCCAGGTTTATCCATGTCCCTGCAAAGGACATGATCTTGTTCCTTTTTATGGCTGCATAGTATTCCATAGTGTATATGTACCACATTTTCTTTATCCAGTCTGTCATTGATGGGCATGTGGGTTGATTCCATGTTCTTGGTATTATGAATAGTGCTGCAATGAATATTCACATGCATGTATCTTTATAATAGAATTATTTATATTCCTTTGGGTATATACCCAGTAATGGAATTGCTGGGTCAAATGGGAATTCTGGTTCTAGGTCTTTGAGGAATCGCCACACTGTCTTCTACCATGGTTGAACTAGTTTACATTCCCACCAACAGTGTAAAAGCATTCCTATTCCTGCACAGCCTTGCCAGCATTTATTATTTCTTGACTTTTTAATAATTGCCATTCTTACTGGTGTGAAATGGTATCTCATTGTGGTTTTGATTTGCATTTCTCTAATCAGTGATGTTGAGCTTTTTTTCATGTTTGTTGGCTGCATAAATGTCTTCTCTTGAGAAGTTTCTGTTCATGTCTGTTGCCCACTTTTTAATGGGGTTGTTTATATTTTTCTTACAAATTTAAGATTCTTCTTATAGATTCTGGATATTAGACCTTTGTTAGATGGATAGATTGCAGAAGTTTCATCCCGTTCAGTGTGTTGTCTGTTAATTCTGATAATGGTTTCTTTTGTTGTGCAGAACTTCTTTAGTTTAATTAGATTCGATTTGTCAGTTTTTGCAAAGCCCCCTAGTCTCTACTTGTGTAGGTTTTTTTTCCTCTTAATGCAGAACTTCCTTTCCTTATTCATTCTCATATTGAGTATTCCACGTCGTGGTTGCATCCTTTTGTGATTTCCTACAGTGTTGATTTGTGCATTCCACCTCATACACTCTCTGCATTTGACAAACAGGTCTTGCCATGGCAGACAAGAGAAAGACTGGGCCACATGCAGCCTCTTGAGCTCTCTGCACTCATCACCCCACAGGCATCTGCATGTGGCCCCTTCTTTAGCCAGCATCCCGCCATCTTGAATCGAGGTTATCAGGAAAGACGTTGTCACATGAGATTCACCATCTATCAGTTTTTCCCTAATTTATTCAATCTAATGACCTTATGAAAATGGGAAGTGAGGTTAGTCAGATTCGATTTGTCTTCAGAACACCCCTTTGTGCTCATATTTATTGCCTTTATTTTATTTTTTAGAATCCACAAACCGTGGTTAACTTCACTCTGTAATTTTGCTAATGTCATTTCCAGAATCTGTGTCAGTCTTTAAAAACTAAGCAGTTACCTAGTGCCAGTCTAGGTGGTATTTTCTCTGTTTTTCCATATTTTTCCCATGTAGTCTTTGTTGCGTCTGCAGTTTTGTCTGCATCTAGTAACACCTGGGGCTTGCAGGGGGGACTTGAAGTCATTTGAAGATGTATCTTCCTTCTTTCCCCTTTATTTCCAGGTTCCGGTTCCTTCGTAACCACATTTGTTCAGCCTTTGGGGGTTGAAGAGCATTATCCTTGAAGGCAAAATAAAGCATACAGAATTACAGTTAAGTGAATACAATTCCTTGCTGAACCATCTGCTCTAAATTGAAGACCCATCCTTTGCTCCTGCTTTTTTCTGCTCCAAAAAAAAATGGCTTTCTGAGATCTTTGCTTTTCAGAACCTTAGTCTCTCTTGGGCCAGAGCAGGGCAAATAACTTCGCTTAGAAGTCCCTGCCACGCTTCTATATCCATCCTTAAAAATAGGACGCTCCTTCCATCATTTGTCACTGGAAATTCTAAGTTGATCCAAGGGTTCTCTTTTAAACTATAGACTCATCTTATTACTTCCTCCCATGTAGTATTAGTGAGAGTGTTTATTTTCTTGGACTTCCTTCTCTCCAAAGCCATGTTCCCTATAATTTCCCTTTCAAACAATTTGCAATTGTTCTAATATCCAGTTGAGGTCTGTTCAGACCTTCACCGCTCTACCTTCACTTTTCCGCTGAGAAAAGGCACCTCTTATCACTGTCCCCTGCCTAAGAAAGCCTTGCTGGCAGCAGCATGGGTAGGGTTTATGGGAGTACCTGGACTTCAGGATCCTCAGGATAAATTGCAGCATCCAGAGTTGATTGGAGAGAACAAGCTCAACCCCTTCCCACTTTTAGCTTTCTTTACTGTGGAAGGATTTGGCTTTTAGGTTTCTTTACTGTGTTACCCAGTTAATTCTTTCATAATGGAAAGACAAACATCATGTCAGTTTCTCCCTCCTGCCAGAAAATACATTCCCAAACATCTCAAGGTCTCCCTGTCTGTGCCCTTCCAGAAGGTAGCCCTTGCCTGGCAGTTGCCCTTCTGGGCTATCAGAGCACCCAGCCAGCTGCTCTGCTGTGCCCGTCTCAGGAAGCCTGGCAGGCACATAAGTCCATTCTTAGCTTTCTGTCATTCCAAGCCGAAGGTGCTGGGGCCTGATTGCCACCTGGACTGCCGGTAAGAAGGCTGGAACTCGGGCAAGGCTGCAGAGGGAAGAGTGGGTCCCATGCCCCTTCCCTAGGGCAGCCCTGCAGCCTGGCAGCCCGTCATTTCACTGAGCAAAGGGATCTCAGGAAAAGCCAGCTTAGAAGAGAGATTACTGTATTCGTTTTCTTATTACTCTCAAGGTGCTTGCTTTTTCCTGAAGATAATGGTTAGAACTGAGAATATTGGCAGGCTCCAAGCATCACACACAGTCCTTGGAAAAAAACAAAATACAGTGGATTTTCACTCCCAACATGGAGAGGGTCCCAGGGACTGATGTGCCTATCTTCCCAGAAGTGCAGAAGCAGACCAGGAGACCAGTCCATCTGTGAGGACACAGTCCCAGAGAGATAGATTTTCCTCAGGCCCCACCTTTGGGGATGGAGAATCCAGCCCCATCCAGACCCAGCGCTTGAGCCTCCAGACATTGACCAGAATGTCTGCTGCTTCTTGATGCGAGTTCTCCTAGAACCTCATGTGCCAGCCAGCTAAAAGAATCACTGATAATCAGAGGCTGCATGAGCTGTCAGAGCCATCCCATTTCTCAGTGGACAAATGAGCACATTTGGTTGCAGAAGGGAGAGGGGCCTTGCCCTCGGCGACACCAGGGGACTAACAGAACCTGAATGTGGACCCAGCTTTGATGATGGTTAATAATAATGCTTATTATTAAACAAAGCCCAACTCTTTGCTGGGCAGTGTTCAAAGCTAATGGCATTTGCCATCTCTCCTTTTTATTGTAAGTATGATACATCCTATTGTCCCCAGATTCCCAGGTGAGGAAACAAGAAGCAGAGAAGTGGTGTGACTTGCCCGTGGTCACACAGCGGGTAAGGGGTCAGCTGAATTTGGACTTGAGCCTCATCATCACTATTGATTAAATGCAGCCATCTTCTAATGCTGCGCTAGGTTCCTGTATAAGCGTGAGAGTGTGTGAGTGTGTGTGTGTGTGTTTGTGCACGCCTGATCCGTGTAGCATCTCTAGAAGGTGGAGGGTGTTTCCACAGATCCAGAAACTGAGGTCAAGTCCTGAGAGTCTAAGTTCAGTGCCCTTTCTGCTATTTAAGGGAAAGAGGCCTGTCTGTGAGTTCTAACCCTATACATAAAGAATAAATGGGGTTCATTATTGAGTTTTTCCCCTTTTATTCTGTAAGTTAAAATCAACCAAATGATTGAGTTTTACCCCTCACCCATCCCCTAAGCCCATTCCTTTTAAGGGAATGGCCTTCAGATGACCTTGAAGATAGGATGTTGGGTGTCCCGCAGGGTATGGCTACACCCCACTGGATGACCCCACCTGCTATCCCATGGAAGAGAAGAACAGGCAAATGTGGCCCATCACCCCATTCACGTAGGGACACCTAGTGTTCTCTGGGAGATGAATATTCCAAACCCACATCACCATAGTCCCCATCAGGGATAATGCTTTCCTGGGGCTGCAGAAACAAAGTACCATAAACTGGGTGGCTCAAAGCAACCCAAATGTATTCTTTCACAGTCCTAGAAGCCAGAACTCCACGATCAAGGTGTCTTAGGGTTAACTTCTTCTGGAGGCTCTAAGGAAGAATCTGTGCCTGCCCCGCCTGCCTTCTGGTGGTTGCTGGCAATGCGAGGTGTTATTTGGCTTAGAGACACGTCCCTTCAATCTCTGCCTGCAATGGCCTTCCCCTCTGTGCCTGTGTCTTTCTCTCCTTTCTCTTAGAAGGACATCAGTCATTGTATTTAGAGCCTATCCTGAGATCCTTCATTTCATCTTCAGTGACTCTTATTTCCAAATGCATCGCACTCACAAGTGCTGGCGTCAGGGTTGGAGCAGTATCTGTTTGAAGGCACTATCCAACCCACTCTGTCACTGCTCTGTCATGGTATATCAGCAGCTGGGGAAGCAGTTGGAAGTCTCGGGGTAACTGAGCTTTCCCCTTTCCATCTCCACCCTCTCTTACCAAGTAGATCAACCTCTTCCCTAGGGGGGTGTTTCCTGTCACAGAGAAAGGCCAAAGCCAGCGTGCTAGAACAGGTTTCTGCAAGGACACTGTTACCTGTCTGTTTCCAAGAAGCTGTCGGGTGCCCTGTGGCTGGGCTGGTTTAGCTTTCTCTCTGCCCTCAGGCAGGGGGCTGGGTTCCATAACTTCCCAAAGCCCTTTGCAACCGGGGCACACACCACTTTCTCTGGCAGCATGGGTCCATCCTCAGGAGTGTCACATTCCCCATGCTTCTTCCGTCACCCTTGTCCAGCACTTTTCCCCAGGGCTTCACAGGACACATGCCTGGCCCTCAGGGAAGCTTGTCACTTCACTCATTATCCCGCCTGTGAGCAGCGGCTGGCAGTGTGCCCACCGTGAGCTCTGTGCCCCCGACCAGATGGCACACGAGGAGCCCAGGGCTGCTCATTCCACAGTAAGCCTAGTGGCTGGCTTCCCTGGATTTAGATATCAAAATTCACATTGGTGGAGAGAAGAGGGCTGTATCGATGCAGGGGTCTCTACACTGAGGCCTCCTTTAGCACAGAAGACCCTGTGACCTCATCAGACCAGCATTGCTGCCCAGAGCCCTAACACAGCCTGATAAGTGCATATCACTGTAGTCAGTCATGCATGGCTTAATGATGAAGACACTTTCTGAGAAATGCGTCGTTAGGCAATTTTGTCATTGCGGGGACATCACAGGGTGTACTCACACAAACTCAGATGGTGTATCCTACCGTACACCTAGGCTATAGGGTGTAGCCTGTTGTTCCTAGGCTACAAACCTGTACAGCATGTGACTGTACTGAATACTGTAGGCAGTTGCAACGCAACGGTAAGCATTTGTGTATCTAAACATAGAAAAGGCACAGTAAAACTACAGCATAAAAGATAAACAGTGGTACACCTATAGAGGGCACTTACCATGAATGGAGCTTGCAGGACTGGAAGTTGCTCTGGGTGAGTCAGTGAGTGAGTGGTGAGTGAATGTGAATGCCTAGGACAGTATTGTACACTCCTGTACCATAGGCTACACTACATTTATTTCAAAAAAATTTTCTTCACAAATAAATTAACCTTAGCCAGCTGGGCTCGGTGGTTCATGCCTGTAATCCCAGTAGTTTGGGAGGCCAAGGTAGGCAGATCATTTGAGGTCAGGAGTTCAAGACCAGCCTGGCCAACATCGCGAAACCCTGTCTCTACTAAAAATACAAAAATTAGCTGGGCGCTGTGATGCACGCCTGTAATCCCAGCTACTCGGGAGGCTGAGGCACGCTTGAACCTGGGAGGCAGAGGTTGCAGTGAGCCGAGTTTTTTTTTTTTGGAGACGGACTCTCGCTCTGTCACCCAGGCTGGAGTGCAGTGGCGCAAGCTCGGCTCACTGCAACCTCCGCCTCCGGGGTTCAGGCAGTTCTCCTGCCTCAGCCTCCCAAGTAACTGGGACTACAGACGCACAGTGCCATGCCTGGCTAATTTTTTGTATTTTAGTAGAGACGGGGTTTCACCATGTTGTCCGGGCTGGTTTTGAACTCCTGAGCTCAGGCAATCTGCCCGCCTCAGCCTCCCAAAGTGCTAGGATTACAGGCATGAGCCACTGTGCCCGGCCGGTACTTTTTAATAAAATTTTTATTTTTGTTCACTTTTTAAACATTTTTGTTAAAAACTAAGATAAAACATACACATTAACCTTGGCCTACCCAGAATCAGGATCATCAAGACATAATTGGGTGATGGAGATTTTGCAGCTTCATTATTATCTTATGGGACCACTGTCATTGTATTCGAGGTTCATCATTGACTGAAACATTTGTTACACAGTTCATGGCTATATTTGGATCTGAGCTCCTGCAGGCACTGTCTCATATTTTGACATCCACAGTAATTAATGACGTGCCTTATACGTGTTCGGTGAGTAAGTGTTTGTAAATTAATGTTTGTGAATTAGCATTTTCCCTCTTTTCTACCTTTGCACTGGGGTCTGGTATACATAGGTGCCTAATAAATGATCCTTGTTCTTCTGGGTTTCCCCTCTCCTTCCATGAGTCTAGGGGTGTTTAGAGGCTGACTGGCTCATGCCCACAGCTCAGCCCTAATAATATTTCAGGATCACAAATATCAGACTGAGAGTGGACAGAAATGAATGTGGACATGGATGAAAGGGAGGGCTTGTCTGAGTTCCATCCCAGGGATCAAAGAGGAAGAGATGCACAGCAGAAGAGATCTTCTCTCCACTCCCCACTGGCATTTGATTCAAACTCCTAGTTCCTTAGTAGCTGCCCCTCTGAAGGTCCTGAGAGACTGAGACTTCCCAAGCGTTTGTTCACTGAATCACTCCAGAAGTGTCCTCTTACTGGGATTAGCTATGAAATCTCTAAAACCCAAAGAGCTAATAGGGCTGTTGGCTGTTGGGAAGATCCTAAGAAAGCTAAGAGGTGGAGGAGGTGCACCCACTGTCCATCCCCACTGGCCACCGTGGTGGAGATGGGGAGCTACAGGAGGTTCCAGGCCCTCAGGAAAGCAGAGAGTTGAACAGCATGCTAGCAAAACAGGCCAGAAGGACCAGGAGCCTGCCGGGTTGTCCTCCTAGGCAACCCATCACCCTGTTAGACGCTCCTATGGGTTTGTTTGTGGATGCACATGTACATCCTTACACAAGGGCCTCCCCTTTGGGAGCCACAAGGGTTTAGCTACATGGTCATGTCAAGGCTCTGGGTGATACAGGGCAAGATCTGGATTTTGGCAACCCTGTGGCAGTCACGCATCTGCCACCATCCAGATGGCATTGACAGACAGCGCCCCAACTCACACCCAGCCCTCCCTGGAGCTCCCACTGCCTTACGTCACTACATGTTGCCCCGGGCCCCTCCTGGAGGCCTTGTCAAAACAGGATGAAGAGCAAACCCTGAACACTGGGGAAATCCAACTGAGGAAGACCTGAGTGTTACCTAACTCTGAGCCTTCAAAATCCTGTACTAGGACAGCAAACACACACACACTATTCTGATTCTGTTCCGGGAAGGGTTTCAGATGGTAAAAGTTTTTGCAAAATGAGTGAGTAAGTGGCAGTTTTATGGAGGAGGTGACATTTGCATTCTGTCTGAATTTTGTGGGGACAGCTCAAGGAGCAGGCTGACCTGGGTCCAAGTCGGGTCAGTCATCCTGGGAAAAGCAAGGATTCAGTGGCCTGAATCATGCCAGGCAGGGAACTCTGCAAAGGGGCCCGAGTGCCGTGTGGTCCATGTGGGAAGTGTGAATTGCATCCGGAAGGCAATGAAGAATCAAGCCACTAATGAGTTTTGAGGAGGGGGTTCGTGTGGTCAAGTTTGTGTCCTAGAGAAGGCAACTCTGTTGGCAGCACCTTAGAAGGCTTGGAAAGAGAAGGGCTTGGCAACAGGAGACTGGTTGGCCTGAAGAGTGAATTTCTAATTGTGGACTTTCAGACACTGGCAAGCTGTTAGGGGAGTTATTTTGGGGTGGCGAGATCCAGAGCTGTGGTCCAGAGGCAGTCTCTGACATGCCAGGTCACTCTCTCGGGCTCCGGCTCCTGTACCTGACTACCACTTGGAGCGTGGCTGTGGGTGTTATCATTGTGGTCCCTCTGCTGGATGCTCATTAAGGCTTTCCCTGGAAATCAGTGTCCAACCTTTCTCCCACCACAGGGCAGCCCTGGGATGGCTTCTGAATCAGGGCCTGCCCGCCTCCTGCAGGTCCCTCTCAGTAAGTCAGAAGGTACAGCTCTGTGGACCCAGACCTTTGGAACCTCAGCATTTCTCAAAGTGGGAGTTGGTGAGAAGAAAAACCTTGGGACAGAAAACAGCTTAGCCTGGGCTATCAGGTCACCCAAAAAGAACAACCAAAATGGGCAGCTCAGAATAACGCCTTAAGGTTAGCTCAGGTTCTGCTTATAAATACTAAGCTCCAGGCTAGAGGGAATTTATCCCTTTGGGAACCAGATACGCTCTGATGTTTTACCAGGGTTCATTTTGAGAACATGGTCATGTTAACTGAGAGTGTGGACCTCAGCAAAGATGGATGTTTTATTAATGTGACAGATGCTGATCGGGACCCCTTGTGCATAGATATCCAGTTAAACCCATTTCAGTCCAAACCCTGGAAATGTGGGTGGAGTCCTCGGTGTAATGGCATGGTGTAGTGTCAGTTTTCTCAAAGCCAGACAGGCTCAGCTGCAAATCCCAGCTCTGCCACCTGTTAGCCAAGTGACCTGGACATGTGTCCTAACCTCTGCAAGCCTCTCTTTCCCTGTCTATAAAATGGGAACAGTAAGAACCATTACAGAGGGTTATTGTGAAGACTGAATGAAATTAGTTAAACTCCACCTGCAGTTGGTTGCTTTAAGTAGTGTAATGAAACTTTTTAAAAAATGGGCCGGGTGTGGTGGCTCATACCTGTAATCCCAGCACTTTGGGAGGCTGACGTGGATGGATCAGGAGTTTGAGACCAGCCTGACCAATATGGTGGAACCCTGTCTCTACTAAAAATACAAAAATTAGCCAGGCATGGTGGCGCGTACCTGTAGTCCCAGCTACTCAGGAGGCTGAGACAGGAGAATTGCTTGAACCTGGGAGGCGGAGGTTGCAGTGAGCCAAGATCGCACCACCGCACTCCAGCCTGGGCAACAGAGCTAGATTCCATCTCAAAAAGCAAACAAACAAAAAAATCATGAAGCCAGGCAGGCATTGTTTTATTGTTGTTGTTCTTTTGTTTGTTTTTTGCTTTTTCCATTATCCTGTGGAACCCTTTGAGCAGCCTATGAAAGGCTATTCCCATTTCATAGATGGGATGAACACAGTTTAGGGATGTGTTTACTCTGAGGTTATCAGTGACTGAGCATAAGTTAACCTCTCCAACAGCCTGATCTTGCATCTGTTCAAGCCATGAGCCTAACACTAGAGATAGTCTCCTAACAGAGCCCTGCTGAGGCTTTCATCAGTGACCCCCATGGAGGCACCTGATGCTGAACTTGGCTTCGAGGTCCTCCCCTTCTCCCCTTCTCGCCTGCTGAACCTTCCCAGAGCGTAAGAGGTAGTTGGGAAATGTTTTTCAGATCTTTTGACTGTTTTTAAATCCAATTACTTAGTTTTTTTTGCTGTTGAGTTGGTTGAGTTCTTTGTATATTCTGGTTATTAATCCTTTGTCAGATGAACAGTTTTCACATATTCTTTCCCATTCCATGGGTTGTCTCTTCACTTTGTTAGTTGTTTCCTTTGCTGTGCAGAAGCTTTTTAGCTTAATTTAATCCCATTTGTTACTTTGTACTCTGGCTGCCTGTGCTTTTGAGGTCCTACTTAAGAAATCTTTGCCCAGACCAGTGTCCTAAAGTGTCTTCCCCAGTGTTTTCTTCTAGTAGTTTTATAGTTTCAAGTCTTACATTCAAACACTACTCACGATAGCCAAGATATGAAATCAACATTAGTACCCATCAACGGATGAATGAATAAAGAAAATGTGATACATAGACACAATGGAATATTATTCAGCCAAAAAAAGGAATTAAATTCTGTCATTTGCAGCAACATGGATAGAACTGGAAGACGTTATGAAATAAGCCAGGCACAAAAACAAATATTGCATGTTCTCACTTATATGTAGGAGCTAAAAACACTGATTTCATGGAGGGAGAGACTAGAATGATGGTTACCAGCAGCTGGAGGGTAGGGAGGAAGGGGAAATGAAGACAGATTGGTTAATGAGTACAAAAATGCAGTTAGAGAGAAGAAATACATTTCAGTGTTCAATAGCACAGCAAGGTGACTGTAGTTAATAATTTATTATATTTTTAAAAATAGCTAGAAGAGAAGATTTGAAATGTTTCCAACATAATGGTTGAGGTGATAGATATACCGGTTACCCACGTTTTTTGTTTGTTTGTTTGTTTGTTTGTTTTTGCAGATAGAGTCTAGCTTTGTCACCCAAGCTGGAGTTCAGTGGCACGATCTCAGCTCACTGCAACCTCTGCCTTCCGGGTTCAAGCAGTTCTCCTGCCTCGGCCTCCCAAGTAGCTGGGACTACAGGCGTGTGCCATCACGCCAGGCTAATTTTGTTTTGTATTTTTGGTAGAGATAGGGTTTCACCATGTTGGTCAGGCTGGTCTCAAAACTCCTGACCTGAGGTGATCCACCTACCTCGGCCTCCCAAAATGCTGGGATTATAGGTGTGAGCCACCACACCCGGCCATTTACCCAGATTTGATCATTACACATGATATGCTTGTATCAGAATATCACATGTACCCTATAAATGTGTACAACTATTAGGTATTCATAAAAATTAAAAATAAAATTTTTAAAGAAGAGTTAGGATGAATGGAGACAAACTGGAGTCTCAACTCCAGTTTTTCTGCAAGGAAAAAAGGAGGCTAGGCTAAATAATTCAGTAGAGTTGCCATAACTGTATGGCCGCCTTTCCCAAGTGGCCCCTATTTCCTGCAGTAATTAAGGGGGATCCATGTGCTCAAACCCCTTTATAGCTCTTTTCAAGAAATCATGTTATTTCCTTCTTTTTTTAACAATGTTATTGAGGTATAATTTATATACCATAAAATTCACTCATTTTACGTGCACATTTTACAGAGTTGCACAACCATCACCACCATCTGATATTAAAACATTTACAACTATTCCTGGTTTAAAGTGGAGAAGAAGTTATGTGCTGGTCCTGTTGAGCCCCTCACTGGGAAGTTTAAAAGAAAAAAGGTTTCCTGAGCCTGTTAGGAAAGGCAGTGAGGACACGGCTCAGAGGCCAGGAAGCTCCCAGGAAACTTTCCTTAGATGGAAAGTAGTGAGCTTTCTTACGGGCAACATTCACAAAGGTGAAACCACCAGAGGAGGAGTGGGGACCAGCCACCCTCCATCCTTCCTGTGAGAGTCTCCAGTGTGGGAGCATCCTCAGTGGAGGGCAGGATTTCTTGGAGAAGAAATTCCAAACAGCCTCCAAGCATTAACCTGCTGCATCCCTCTTGAAGGAAGGGGAAGAGAAGAGGCCAGGTCAAGTCTAGATTCCAGAGGGGGAGTTGGTAGAGAGGCCAAGCACTCATAGGATGCCCTCAGGCTCTTCAGGGGAAGAGTGACCCAACGGAAAGAACCTGTTCAAATCCTGGCTTCACCAGTTACCAGCTCTAAGCCTCAGTACCCTCATCTCAAAAATCGGAGAAAATTGTTGTGCTGTTTCTGGCATTTTGACAAAGTGAATGACAATATGCATCCATAGGGTCTGGGATGCTGAACAAACAGCCACAATTTCAGTTATTGTTAAAGAAAACAGCTTCTGAGAAATGCAAAACCTGAACACTCTTGAACAAGACATATCTGGTTTATTGCAAGAAATGAGAATGTGTCTTACTGGTGAGTTCAAGTCCATATTCTTCTATTTACTCTGTTTGTGTGGATCTGGACAGGTTGCTTATAGAAGCCTCTCTGAGCCTCAGTTTCCTTATCCATGAAGTGGGCCTAAGAATAGCGCCTGCCTTGTAGAATTGAGCTGAGGAGCAAATGAGACACCGCACGGACTGTGCTCAGCCAGGGCCCATTGCCTGCCGGGTGCCCTGTCAAGGTTGGCCGTTGTCATCAGTGTCACCATCACTGCTGCCCTCTCTATGGCTGGCAGTGGTGAGGACTTGTTGTGGCCGTGTTTTCAAAGGGACCTTCTGTCCCAGATCCCTTGGGTACCATCACTCAATATTGCAACTTCTCTGTGCGTAGGAAACTCCCTAACTCAAACCTGAAAGGACAGGCCTATGGAGGAGCGTAATGAGAACTCATATGCAGTCCCAGGGTGTCTCAGGGAGTCTTCTGGGAGTTTGCTTCTTCACACCTTGTATGTAAATATTAGGAGAGAAGAGTGAGGGAGTCAGCTAGAGCTTAAATAGGAGAAATGTTGAGGACCAGTCTCACTGATGGCAACCAGGAGGTATGTTTTTGCAGGCCATCATGCCCACTGCTGTGTTGCCACAAACACCCCCTGCTCCCTCAGGCCAAGGGAATAGGAGCCCAGAGCCCTGTACACCATGCAGGGGTAGGAGGATGTTTGCTCCAGCTTTGCATTAAGAAGGGAGATGGATTCCTAGTGATGCCCCAGTGAGGCCAAGTTCGATCCCCTCCTCCCTCTGCTTCCCGTGTGGTTTCTTCAGCCTGGGCTGCCTTGCCCTCACCTCAGCCCTCACGTAGGTCATGTAGCCTACATCCCCGAGGGAGAAGTGAGACTATTCTTACAGCATAGGAAAGTTGACTACGGGAATGACATTAAGAGACTGAACTGGAATCTTTTATCTTTGTCTACTCGTCTTCCTCCTAACACAAATGCACTAGACTTCTTACACATTCACAATCAGGAGAAGTACATGCATGATATAGTAAAGCCATTAACCTGGTGTCAAGTGTTATCAATTGGGTCATTAAATAAGACTCATTAAGCATCGTCTAACTGCAAGTAGATGGTGCTGCACCTTTTGGAACTGGATGTCTAGAGCCAGAAGCGTCAGTGCAGACTACTCTTTGTGGTTTCCCTTGTAGCTACTAGCCGGCTTGGAAGGAATCACACCTATGTTAGTCCTTTTGGGCTCCTGTAACAGAATACCATAAACTGGGCAGCATATAAACAACAGAAATGTATTTGTCATGGTTCTGCAGGCGGGGACGTCCAAGATCAAGACACTTGCAGATTCAGTGTCTCGTGAGGATCAGCTTCTTGATTCATAGACGGCCACCTTCTTACTGTGTCCTCTTCTGCGGGAAGGGGTGAGGCAGCTCCCTGGAGCCTCTTTTTTAAGGGCACTCACCCTATTCATGAGGGCTTCACCCTCATGACCTGATCACCTCGCAAGGACCCCACCTCTTGATACCATTACCCTGGGTATTAGGATTTCAACATGAATTTGGCAAGTAAGAGTGCACAAACGTTCAGACCATAGCAGTACTTGGCCAGGCTACCTCCTAATAATACTGCCAAGCGAAATCAGATGGTGCAGGCGTGATAGAGCGGCACGAAGCTATTTGTGTCTTTCATAATTAGCATGTTTTGAAGGAAAACTTAGCTGTGATAGAGTTAGAAATTAGACTTTTCTGCTCAGCAAATTAGCTCTCAGATTGCAAACCACGTGAGTCCATTCCCCCACCCCCACCTTACTCCCACTTTCAGAGATGAATCAGATGGTTTACTCTGTTCTACTTTCCTCTTCAGAAAAGGGAAGCAGAATCCAAACCTAATTAAGACAGCGTTTCAGCGCTATAACTAAATTCATTCATAGCCCAACCACACTGGGATGCATGAGCTTCCTCTGGCCACTTCATATTGCAAACCTGGTTCAAATAATTATCATTCATCATTTACTCTCAAGTTTAAGTTTCTAGAGAAATTTTTAAAAATTAACCCTGCTCTTCTCATGCTTGCTGGGGCCACAACGCTCCAGTCACTTTGATCAAGACAGCACAGAGGCCTCATACTAAAGCAAGCCTCTGAACATGCTCCTTATTAATTAACAGCTGCAGGCATTTGGAATGTTCTGTCCGAATGGTGTTAACAGCCTCATCCCTTTGGTGGCCAGAACTAGAAAGCAGAAAGATCCCAAGTGAAGCTCCTCTTTTGAGCTACCTGCTAGCTCCCACCACTCACGCAGGCTTTGGACTCACCTGCCCTGTCACTCACAGCTGTGTGACACTGGACATTCAGAACCTCTCTGTGCCTCATTCGCCCCACCTGTAACACGCTGGGTCACACAACTCCTTCACACGGTGATGATTCCTAGAGATTCATGAATATTTGGAGATTCCTACTCTGTGCTAGGCACTGTGCTGGGCGATAGGGAGACAAAGAGAAATAAGACCGAGGTTCTTCCCCTCAATAACTCCATGCTCCAAATCAGTGCTTCTCATTCAAGGGCTCCCCCCGCCCCCCCCCCGCCACCCCCCACTCCCCCCAGGGGACATTTGCCAATAGCTGGAGATAATTTTGGTTGTCATGATGGGAGATAGAGGGTGCTACCAGGATCTAACAGGCAGGTGCCTGGGATGCTGCTGAACATCCTACAATGCCCAGAACAGCCCCATGCCAGGAATTACTCACTTTGTCATGTCAGTAGTGCTGAGGTTGAGGAACCCTGATCTAACAGACCAATCCAGATAGATACGCAGATAATTTCAGTGCAGTGTGATAGGAGTTACGAGAATTAAATAAAATATTTTATGTACAGGGGCCAAGACTTGGTAGTTCTCACTGAAAGGTCATGCCCTTCATGCAGTGACCTGCTTCTGCAAGGACTTATGTTGGTAGCAAACAGCCAGAGAAAGAAGGCAGTCTTTGCATTCACTACGCAAGGGAGGTGTCACTCCAGGTGACCTAAACCTGGCTTGTGTGATCCAGTCCTGCCTCTTGCTTCCAGCTCTGTCAAAATCCCTGCCCGTCTACAGGTTACCAGGACCTTGGGGGCAGAGGGATCCCAGAATGAGAGCTGGACCTGCTGGGGGAGGAGGCAACCTTCAGCATTGAGTATTCCTTTGCACTTGCCCTTCCCTCTCATCTGAACACTCCCATCCCTCACTCGAGCTCTGCTGGGGAAAATGATGAATGAGTCACGAAGTGAATCACTGGGGAAAGCCCTCCCCGGGAGCTGTGGCTGAGAACCCACCCAGGCGACATAACTTCCTGGTTCCTTTCTTGCCTCTCCCCACAAAAGATTAAAAATAAAACGGGAAATAGTTAAGATGACTTGCTGCAGTAACTTTTATACTTTTATAATAAGAAAGTGAAAATGTTTAAAGAAGCCAAACTGGTAGGCTACCCGAATTAGGTCGAGCACGATGAAGACTCTATTCTGTTGCGTTGGCATCAGGCTCGTTCAGAACCGACTGCTTCAAGCAAGTCATTCTCCCAAAGAGGCGGAGGCAGGGTGGAAAGAAAACGTGAGCCTAAATTGAAATATCCAGGGCCTTAAGAAATCACTCACGCTCTCTGAGCATCTCGAAGTTTCCTGGCTTTCAAAATGGGTTTGATGGCACCTCGTACCATTGTTTGGAGGGTAAAGGAGTTCAGGCATGTGAAGGGACTTCGAAAGTTAAACAGCCTTGTACAATTATTGCTAAATGTTGGGGACAGGATAATAGCATTGTAGCTTTGTTTTCATCTTTCAAAAACATGTCTTGAAATAATTACGGAGGGTCGGGTGCGGTGGCTTACGCCTGTAATCGCAGCACTTTGGGAGGCCAAGGTGGGCAGATCACCTGAGGTTAGGAACTCGAGACCAGCCTGGCCCACATGGGGAAACCCCATCTCTACTAATAATACAAAAATTAGCCAGGTGGGATGACGCATGCCTGTAATCCCAGCTACTCAGGAGGCTGAGGCAGGAGAATTGCTTGAACCCCAGGAGGTGGAGGTTGCAGTGACCCAAGATCAGGCCACTACACTCCAGTCTGGGTGACAGAGCAACACTCTAGACTTTTTTTTTTTTTTTTTTTGAGACAGAGTTATGGAGGAAATGATATTCGGGATTTGCTTTAACATAAGGATGGAGGAGTGGGAGGGGGCAGAGATGGAACCCTGACTGTGAGTTGATGATGGTTGTGACTAGTGAGAGGTATCTGTGCCTTCATTCTTCTAGTCTATTCTCTCTACTTTTAAATTTGAATTTCCACCATTTAAAAACATCTGTTAGATATTTTAGGTATACTGAACTATATACTTAAAAATGGTTAAGATGGTAAATTTTATGTTATGGACATTTTATCACAATTAAATATATATATACACATCCCTCTTTTAAAGTCAGTAATTGAGATCAGCAATATATATGAGGCACAAGGAACACAGAAAAGCAATCATATGAGAGGGAAAAAGAGAAAGCCAGGATTAAAGGGGCATAGCTCTTTTGCCCCCTTTTCTGGGAATTTGTTAAGTACAACCACTGAAAGAAGCAGGACTCTCCCTGGCTGGAGGACTAGAGAGTGAGCAGGAACTTTGGCCAGGACGTTGGAAATACCCTCCTGGGGGCACGTGACCTGAGATGGTTGAGGAGCGGTTGGGTGCTGCATGCATGCGAGGCCGGTGCCTGCCAGGGAGCGTGAGGATGAAGACAGGTTGCCCAAGCCTGGAGAGGCCCACTGTCTGCAGGGCAAGCATTCAGAGAGCACACCAGCACACCATCCTCGCATTTGGCAGCGAGCAAGGCAAATGAAGACACAGGACAGTGTGGAGGGCTCTGCATGCTGGGCTGTAGTTTGGACTTGGAAACAGATGAAATGAAAGCTGTAGTCACTTCCCTTTTTGCCTTTTAAAAAATATATGTTCAGGGGAAAAAACACACGTCAGAAATGGAGTCATTTGAAGCTAAGTGTCACCCATCTCGGAATAATTGTCCGCCAGCACTAGATTTTACAAAGTGATTGGTGGCACAGAGCACTCTTCCTGATGGACAACACTGGCCCGGCAGTGTAGGAGGGAACGCAGGCCACTGGCAGAGCAGCAGAGTCTGGGGTGGGCCGTGGCCTCTCCTCTGGCCCCAGTTCTTCAGTCGTGACACCTGGGGATATGTCCTTTCATCTCTTGGGCTCTCTGCATCCCCACCTTGAAGGGAGGACTGGATGGAATCCAAAGACTGATCACAGGCGGCTGTGTCTGTGTTTGCAGTTGTTCCTGGCAGGCAGACCACACTGGATGTGTCTTAGTCGTAATCTGGGGGCCTGGGCGTGATGAGCTCTTGTTCCTTCTACTGTGTAACTTGCACTAGAACCTAAGGAGGCCTCTCAACCAGGGTCCTTTTTTCAGCTGTCACCAAGGGTACAATTAATGGCACAAATCGGTTCTTCCCTATGACGCACTTTGTGTGAGATGCCTGGATAGCAAAGGCAACACTTGCACTGTGCGTTTTCCCTCCTGGATTCCAATAGCTTTCCAGTTAGTTCATAGGTTTCAAGGGATTTGGATGGTGCAAAATGGAGGCCTTTTGGAAGAAATTAAAAATGCGAAGCCTGATAAGCGTAACCACCATTCTTTTTTTTGGTTTTTTTTTTTTTTCCTCACTGGCTAATGCATTGTGTGTTTAAAAGGAGATTTGGCCCAACCCAGCCTCAAGCCATTATTTACTCAACCTTTGTTTTCTTTTTCTTTTTCTTTTTCTTTTTTGGTGGTTGTTGTTGTCGGCTCATTATAACCAACTGAACTCAGCCTTTCTTTAACATTTATTTTCTGTGTCTGTGCTCTGGACTTAAGTGAATACAAGATCTGAGAGAGATGACCCACCAGGGGTAGTGGTTTTCAAATTTTGGCAATGGGCCTGTTTTTCTTTAAACAAAAGATTGGTTTTCTGAGACTATGCAACAACTTTACGCAAAAACTGTATTTTTGTCCACAAACTTGGTGACTTAGAACAACACAAGCTTATTATCTTATGGTTCTAAACACCATAAATCTGAAATCAAGCAGACCTGTGCTCCCTCCAGAAGCCAGGGGAGAATCCTTCCTTGCCTTTCCAGCTTCTGATAGATCCAGGCGTTCCTTGGTCTGTGACTGTGTAACTCATGTCTGTGGCTTTACTGGCATCCTCTGCTCCCCTTCTCTCTTTTCTGTGTGTCTATTATAAGGACACTTGGATTTATGGGCCCACTAAGGTAGCCCAGGATGATCTCATCTCAAGATCCTTAACTTAATTACATCTGCAAAGACCCTTTTTCCAAATAAGGTCTCATTCACAGGTTCCAGGACATAGACATATTTTTTTTGAGGATCGTCATTCAACCCAGTACAAAAACCTTACACGGGGCAGAAGAGAGAAAGGGGAGAGCTCTGCTTATATCATTATCACATTGTCAGGACCTTGACCTCCACACATTCAGATCCCACCCCTTTCCCCCATCCTTTGCCCGGTAAGCCATGCACCAAGGATCCAAATTTGAAAACCAGAGTTTTAGCAGAGAGAGCTTGGGAGACTTGGGAGTCAAAGGCCTACGCTGGGAAATGGGCCTGGAGTTTCCACAAGACCACTTGGCCTCTCGGTTTCATCATCTGTGAAAAATGAGATATTCAGGTCTACGCTACAGTGTTGACATAGAGTCTAAATGAGATCCTTAGTTCTTGGGTCATTTCCAGGGCTCGGTAGCATGAGTTTACTCTATCCTCATCCCACGACATTCTACCCCGTGGAAAAGGTGTTGAGATGTTATGGAAACACTTCTGACTTCACAGAAGGGTTGGTTCCTGAACCAGTGGACAAGAAAGTTAATTCTGGCTTTCAAAGAAAGCCAAGAGCTCTAGAATTGTAGGGTTCAGGTTTTCATCTTTTCCTTTGGCAGAAAAGAGAGCATTCTTCAAGCCTATTCAATTCTAAGTACCAAATGACAAGCCATATTAAACAGATCCCAGTGAGCTCCCCACATCCTTTCCTGCTTACACCACAAGTGGACTGTGTGCCAAGCAAGGCTTTGAGATCAATTGCACTTCGGTGGCTTTTGAGTAGTTTCTCAACTCCATCTCATCTAGTGACATTTTAGAACGGATAATTATTTGTTGTGGAGACTGCCCTGTGCATTGCAGGTTCAGTGGCATTTTTGGCCTTTACTCACCAGATGCCAGCAGCAACCCCAGCCCATTGTGACAAGCAAAACTGTCTTCAGACATGGCTCAGTGTTCCCTGGCGGGCAAAGTTGCCACTGGTTAAGAACCACTGCTTTAAGAGAACCTATGCTCGAGGTCAGGCACCGTGGCTCACGCCTGTAATCCCAGCACTTTGGGAGGCCAAGGCAGGTGGATCACCTGAGGTCAGGAGTTTAAGACCAACCTGGCCAACATGGTGAAACCCCCGTCTCTACTAAAAGTACAAAAAATTAGCTGGGCATGGTGTCAGGCACCTGTAATCCCAGCTACTTGGGAGGCTGAGGCAGGAGAATTGCTTGAACCGAGGAGGCAGAGGTTGCAGTGAGCCAAGATCGTCCCAGTGTACTCCAGCCTGGGCGACAAGAGTGAAACTCCTTCTGAAAAAATAAAGAGAACCTATCTTCTTTCAAGCCAGCCTGTCATGTGTCAGAACTAAACAGTCATTTTCCTTATAATTTTTTTTAAAGGCCCAGTTGCTGCCTGCCCATTGCTGATGCAGGAAGTCTGAGCCATTCAGTTAACACCAACCCGAAAGATGCAGTCAGAGGCTGACTTTGCTTCCCTGCTGTGCACAATTTGTCTCTTCCCTCTCCTTCATCTGCAAACAGAACCAGAAGTGATCTTCCAGAAGAATAAAGCTCATATTGTTTGTTCCAATTATGAGGATCGTTTCTCCAGTTCTGGTCTCAGGTGGGCCTTAAGGACCTCACCAGGTGATCTGCCCAGGTGAACGTGGTATGCCCTGAAGGTCTGCTATTTACCAGTCTGTCTTGTTACCTTTTTTAGAGGAGACATTCCTCAGCAATACCTGGCCTCCATTTTCCAGCCTGTGAGTTAGAACCCCGATGCTCAGATTTCTCTAGAGGAACACACTGCCTGCAAGGATGAGTTTTCCAGAAAAGCCATCTTCCAGGACAGAGACGCAGAGAAATTAAGCAACTCATGTTGATTCAGTCTGGGAATCTCGAGAGAGCTGACAAGCAGGGCGGTGGGGGGTGGCCAGGAGCTGACATGGCTTTCTGGTAGGCAGCCCCACATCCTGCTTCCTCCCTGTGCTGAGTGTAATCACTTCTGCCCCTTCAGGAAAGTACTTCACACCCGTGGCATAGAGCCAACAGTGAGGTGGATTCCGGGTCCTCTGGATGCCTGGGATGGTGAGATGCTTGAGAAAGTTTTGGCAGTTTGTTCAGACTTGGGGACTCTCCAGTCTGCCTTCCTATCACCCAGCAGGAATGCCCTTCCCTTCAACCCTGATACCTGGGCACTTGGCCTCCACCTGAATACCCTTGGTGGTGAGCAGCTCACTACCCCTCTGAAGACAGCCAGTCCCCCGTGCTCCATGTTCCTTGTCACCTGCTATCTTATGACTGCATCCTGAATCCGACTCTGGCTTCTGGAGGGAAACTTGGTGCTTAAGCTTTTATTCCCCATGACAGTGTTCCAGCCTTGCTGCCTGCTCATTGTGTTTTCTGGGGCTAAACTTCTCCAGTCCTTTAGTTATTACATGGCACGGCTTCTAGATCCTTACTTCTCCCAAAAGCCCCTCCAGGAGGTAATCCAGCATGGTATGGCCCCCTCTAAATGTCACATTCCAGACTGACCACACTGGCAGCTGACTCTATGAGAATATGGGGGCTGCCCCTTTGTAACCCTGACTCTGTTAATGCCACGGAGGTTGCATGGGCATTTGGGATAAGTGCATCACTGGTGGGAACTCATGCTGAAGCTCCATTCCGCTGCAGCTCTTCCTGCCTTGATGAGCTCTTGCTCCATACCTTCCTCAGCCCATCCTAAAGTGCTTGCAGGCGAATGCTGGCTCCCTTTCAGACAGATAGTTTGGCCATGTTGAATCCTCAGTCTACCTCTAGTGTATGAATCTTCCCTCTCAAATGGGCATAACATGCCAGTGTATCCATCCCACATGCAGAGAATGGGATAGGAGTGACCCTTTGGCACACTGGCCAAGACCTCCATCCTGCTCCACAGGACTTCACACATCTGCTCCACGGCTTTGAGATGGTTCCGCCAGTTCTGTGTCTCAGCATCATGCATGGTTCCCTCTCTCATATAGTGAGTGAGTGTTTTTGTCCAGTCTGTACTTGCCTCACAGTATAATGTGTTTATGACTTGTCTTCAATCTAATCAGCATCCTGTTCCTATCAGAAAACTGCAGAGGAAATGAAGTTGGTCTGGCGTGACTTGTTCCTGCTAAACTCTGTCGACTTCTGACAGTGACAGCTCCCTGCTTGCAGAACACATAAATCCAGAGTTTAATAATCCATCCTTAGTTTTCACCAGGCTTCAAAATCAGCCGACTGTCATGTCAGCAAGCGGCCGTGTCCCCCTTAGTGATAAAATCAGGGTGAAATTTGCATTTGACTCACATCTTGACTGTTTTCCACCGTTCGTCAAACAAAACCCATGGTGTAGGGGCCCCGCTGGAGGTGAGGTTGGAAAGGGGTGAGAATGCATCGGTTGCGTGCAGCTGGTGCCAACCTGGCTAGCACCTCTGCAGTCTGCCCTTCCCAGTCAGAACCTCAGGACACCAACCCTGCCTCTAGATAGGAGGGATTTCTGCTGATGCAGCCTATGTTCTGCTGCATGTTCAGTACTTTCCCCGGATGCAGGACGTAGTTTTGATGTTAGGATTTCTGCTTTATCCTGGAACCCCAGCTCCCATCCCTATCTTGTGCCCTATGCATGATCACTGAGTCTCTACTCATTTGCTCCTGCATGGGGCCTGGGCATGAATCCACGGATAGACAGTGCCCCAGGGACCTGCCGCTAGCCCACCCACTCTGCCCCCAGAGCCTGATTCTCATTCTGCTGAGCCTCACTCTGGTGCTCACGGGCCTCCTTGGACACTGTACACCAGCACCGTACACCAGCCAGGGCAATCCCCACCAGTCAGCACACACTCGGAGGGAGGCCCTGAGCCAGGTCCCCACCTGCACTCAGAGCCCCATCTGCCTGTAGTCGCACAGCCTGGCATGGAGTCAGGAAGCCTGTGAGGGTTTAAAATAGGGGATGAGTGTGATTTAATATGTTTTGGGAAGATGAACCGAGTCAAGTACGGACTGTATGAGATTGGGGAGTGTATTAGTCCATTCTCATGCTGCTAATAAAGACACACCTACAACTGCATAATTTATAAAGAAAAGAGATTTAATTCACTCACAGTTCAGGATGGCTGGGAAAGCATCAGGAAACTTACAATCATGGCAGAAGAAGAAGCAATCACTTCCTTCTTCACATGGTGGCAGGAGAGAGAAGTGCTGAACAAAATGGAGAAAAGCCCCGTATAAACCCATCAGAACTCGTGAGAACTCCCTATCGTGAGAACAGCATGAGGGTAACCACCCCCATTATTCAGTTACCTCCCATGGGGTCCCTCCCACGACCCGTGGGAATTATGGGAGCTACAATTCAAGATGAGATTTGGGTGGGGACACAGCGAAACCATATCAGGGAGGTCCCTGATATGGGTCCTTCTATTACCCTGTGGTTGGGGTAATAGCAGGCCTCCCTTCCCTTCTTGGGCTTTTCGGAGATGGTCATTTTTTTGACAGACACGGCGTGAGGACCTTCACTGATTACCACAGACTCCCACAGAGTCATTTGCCCCGCCGTGTCCTCCTACAGGCGGGGGAGCCACCCTCAGAGGAGCTGGTGACCCTCCTACCTTGAACTGCACTGCTTCAGCCACACCAGTGAGGCAGGCATTCCCTGGCATGAGAAAGCGTCTGGCTCCCTCTGGTGACAAGAGGAAGCACCTGAGCCTTTGCCGCCATTTCCACTGGTGGTGGAGCACGAGGTGAGGATGGATAAACTAAGGTCCAGAGATCCCCCACACTGTAGGTGCGGGGTGGAGTCCCAAGTAGAGGCCCCATGCCACTAAAGCTCAGTTCTGTCTCCCTCAGGACCCTGGGCTTCCCAGAGCCAGCAGGGATATGGCTCTGAGCAGGTTCTTCAGCACTCTGCAGGCGCTGGTTCCTTTGGAATTAATTAGATTTCTCTAAAATTAGCTTAGAGTTAGAGGGATTTCCAAAGCCCTCAACCTTCTGCTGCCATTTCCCCTTTCTGAGTGGGAGGAAGTGCAGGATCCTGCAGGACCTGGGCTCCTACGCAGTTGTGTGGCCACAGGCTGGTAATGTAACTTTTCTGTGCCTCCATTTCTTCATTTATAAACTGATGGTGAAGACACCTGCCTCTCGGGGTTGTGAGGATTACATTCTATGCAGTGTCTAAAGGCCCTAGCACATGGCGGGTATTTAATTAAGAATGATTTTGTTGTTGCCATTATTCATGGCATCAACAGAGCTGGATCTCGAGGTAGCAGTGGGCTTTCCACTGTGGAGCAGCAGAAACCGAGTTAGTTCGCTATATCCCCATTGAGTGAACACCTGAGCATGCTAGTGAATGAGAGTGAGAAATAACTGGGAACTACACAAGTTGGCTTTTGGGAGCACCAGAGCTGGCTAGCACAGGGCCTGACTTGGGTCTTGCCCTTGAGGCCTGGGCTCATCCCCAAGGTTTTCCGAGCCTCAGGGACCTCCACAGCAGCACTCCATAGCAGGTGTCTCCCTGAGGCCACATAGCCTGAGCAGGACACACCTGAGCCCAGGAGCTGCTGTGCTTCTTGCTGTAGGCAGGTCATAGCCTGACCTCGGCGCACCTCCGCGGGCAGCTGCAGCCCAGCCATCTCCTACACAGCCACACCACTGACTCTTCTTGTTTGCAAGGGTCTCCGTCTACTGTCTGCCTCACATCTTGGGGCTCTCCCACACCTCTGCCTTTGCCCAGGCTGTTCCTGCTTTGCCCAGGCTGTTCCTGCCTTCTTCCTGTTCTTCCTCCCCTTTCTTTAGTCCTCTGCTTTGTTTTTATTTCAGCTTCCCACTTACTGTACATGTATCACTGGGCACGTTACTTCATCTCTCTGTGTCTCAGTTTCCTTACGTTAAAATGGGAGTGTATCTGCGCATAGGGTTGTGGCGACGATTAAATGAGGTAGTACATGGAATGTGCTAGAACTCAGCCCTCAGCTCACTAGGCATCAGCACCGTCATCCTCACTAGCAACAGACCTGCCTCAAAACCCAGCTCTGGCCCTACGCTATGAATGGGGATATTTCCCTCACTGATGTCCTGTGACTCATCTGCCATACTCGAGCTTGCGCCCTGTGAGAAACAGTTTATCTTGTGTACCACGTTTAGGAAACTTATTTCCAAGCCTGCCCTTTGCTAGGCACGGTGAGGGGGTCCAGCGATAATGAGTAAAATGGTCCCACAGGTCAGAGCTCCCTGGCAGTTTTCCACCCGGCCAGTCCTAACCAGGGAGCAATGCCCATGAAGGTGCTGATTTTATCCTGACATCTGGGGGCCCTGGGATGGCTGCATTCACGTTGGATGGCCCACCACATGCATCTAGTACTCCATGCCACTAGGGGGCACACCACAGCTTCCAAGTACCCTCTCAAGTGTTGGCCCACATGATCCCCACTCTGGTCTTGGGAGCTGTGTTAGTCTCCTGGGGCTGCCATAACAACATGCCATAGACTGGGTGGCTTCAACAACAGACACTCATTTTCTTACAGTTTTGGAGGCTGGAAGCCTGAGATGGTAGTGTTGGCCATGGGTCTCTTAAGAACTCTCTCCTTGGCCAGCAGACGGCCAGCTTCTCACTGTGCCCTCACACGGTCTGTCCTCTGTACCTGAGCTTCCTTGGTGTCTCTGGGTCCAAATCCCTAAGGACACCCATCAGATTAGGGCCCATCTAAGGGCCTCATTGTAATGTAATAATCTCTTTAAAAGCCCTATCTCTGAACACAATCACGTGCTGAGGTTCCCGCGGCCAGGGCTTCAACATGGATTTGAGGGGACACAGTCCAGCCCGTAATAGGGGGAGAGCAGGGCAGGTGACTGCCCTGTTTTCCAGATGGAGCTGCTGAGGCTTTGAGGGGTGAGTGCCTCGAGCACAGCCTCCTGCTGTTGCTAAGTTGTCCTGCAGAGCTTTGAAGCCTGAACTAGACACAAGGTCCTGCGGTCTCTGCACTGCCCCTTGCTGGGGGCTTGGGTGTGGACAGCAGGGAGCCTGCAAAACCTGCATCTGAGAGGATGTCCCTAGAGAGCTTCTGGGAGGACCCCACTGGGCTCACACACAGAATGCGGGCCCTTCAGGAAGGCACAAGCTGTTGTTTCTCTGGATGGATTTCCGGCCTGCGGCTAGCCAGCCAGAGAGGCATGTGCCTTCACCCTGGTAAGGCCTGGCTGGGCCTGGAGAGAAAGAAAAGATGCCTCTTTCAGCTAGGTTGAGAAGCCCAGAGTGGCAACAGCTGCGGCTTTGACCAACTGCAGATCCTCCCCGAGCATCCTGAAGTCGTCTAGCTTTGTGGGATATCGTTATACAAATTATTCTCCATGAGGCCAGGGCTTCCTACCCCTCCCAGGCCTGGGTAGTAATCAGTTTACAGTTCAACACACACGGAGTCCCTCCTCCAGGGCTGTACTGCCCCTATGGAAAAGGTGATTTTTGTGTTTTTTTAAACAGGGTCTCTGCTTTTCCCGAGCCTACAATTATTATGGCAAGCCCAATACATGGAGTTTTTTTTTTTTTTTCCTCCAGTCCAACTAGAAGCAGAACTATAGAAAAAGTCTCAGGTCACGTACTATGACAGAAGAGAGAAGGTGAAGGATGAGAGAAAATCTAGGAAGGCCCCTTGGAGGAGGTGGTATTTAAGGCAGGCTTTGAATGGAGGATCAGTTTTTGATGCACCGCTAGGGCCCTGGAGGAGAAGGAGAAACTGGGTTGAAGACCAGCATAAGCAAGGCCCATGCCCATACCAGACAGCAGTAGGGGCCATACTCGGTGCCCCAGAGGCCACACGGGGTACACCAGGCAGAGTTCTGTGCTGAGTGCTCACACTCGTGGCGGCATACAGTGCTGCTTTGGCTGGCTTTACGAGAGATTTGGGTTCTGTCACCATGCTCAGTGACTTTGGTCTGGCCACATTTGGTGAATGGCTGCCCCTCCACCTTCCAGGGTGAATATCAAATTGTGTCCATATTCTTCCTTTAGCCCATGTGCCCAGATGCATTTTTTTTGGGCGGGGGAAGGTAGGTATTTTTCATTTTTATGGATACATAGTAGCTGTGTGTGTGTGTGTGTGTGTGTGTGTGTGTGTGTGTGTGTGTGTGTATGGGGTACGTGAGATTTTTTGACACAGGCCTACAATGTGCAATAATCACATCAAGGTAAATGGGGTATCCATCATCACCTCAAGCATTTATCATTTCTTTGTGTTACCGACATTCCAGTGATACTCTTTCAGTTATTTTTAAATGTAAAATAAATTACTGTTGACTGTAGTCACCCTGTTGCAATATCAGATACTAGAGTTTATTCATCCTGTCTATATTTTTGCACCCATTAACCATCCCCACCTCCCCTGCCCCCTTCCCAGCCTCTGGTAACCATCATTCTACTCTTTACCTCCCAAATGCATTTTGGGTACCAGCTATTTCTTTGGTCAGTGCTGGTACCACTAGTGGTGCTTTTTTTTTTCTTTTTCTCCTTTTTTTGAGACAGAGTCTCGCTCTATTGCCCAGGCTGGAGCGCAGTGTTGTGATCTCGGCTCACTGGTGCGATCTTGGCTCACTGCAACCTCCACCTCACAGATTCAGGCAATTCTCCCTGCTTCAGCCTGCCTAGTAGCTGGGATTACAGGTGCCCACCACCATGCCTGGCTTTTATATTTTTAGTAGAGATAAGGTTTTCACCATGTTGGCCAGGCTGGTCCCGAACTCCTGACCTCAGGCGATCTGCCCACCTCGGCCTCCCAAAGTCCTGGGATTACAGGTGTGAGCCACTGCACCCAGCCCACTGATGGTGCTTTTTAATGAGAAAGTCTGGTCAAGGGCAGCAAGGGCAGAGGCTGGTTCTAGTCCAGGATTCTCAACCTGTCTGCAGGTAGAATCACCTGGGGACTTTGGGAAAAGCCCATTGCCTAGTGTGTCTTCCAGACCAGCTTCATCACAATCTCCAGGAGTGAGACCTAGGGATTGGTGTTTTCTTTTTACAAGTTTCTGAGGTGAATCCAATGTGCAGCCCAGTTTGAGCCCCATTGATGTATCTGATCTAAGAGGTCAACAGGTGCAGTAATGTGGGGAGGGGCACATATGCTCTGGCTCTGTCATGTACTGTGTGGATTTGGTAACATTAGTGTTTGGTTTTGTTTGTAAACTTTGTGATGGAGATAATTCTATTACACAGTGTCTAACACCTAATTTGTGCTCAATAAATGGTCACCTCCTCACCGTCTCCTTCCCTGTTCACCTCCTCCTCAGACATAAGCAAGGTCAGTTATGTAATGCTGGCAGGCTGTTGGCAGCAGGCACCAGATAAATGTGTATTGCAGGTTTCCTGCTGTTTATGGATCATGTTTTATTCATGCACATATGATGCAGAATGCTCCCTCTGAGGGGAGAACTTTGAGCCTGCAGATTTAAGATGTGGCAATACATTTATATAAATTGAGGAGACGAAGGCAAGTGGGTGATGAGAAACGCAAAGCCCTGACGGAGGGTTTCACAGGCATTTAGGAAGTGGAGGCCAAGGATGTTCAAGCAGCCTGGAATTGCTCTTTTTCCTAGGTCAGCACTGCCCTCTAGTGGGGCAGAGTCACAGCCAACCCGCGTTTCCTCCTCACTCCTCCCACTTGCGAGAACCATCTAGGGTTAAAATTACTCCAAGTCCAGCCAAAGAAACAGCCTAGGGAGACCAGCCATGCACGCCCCCATTCTTGGACTCATTGTTCCTGAAACACAAAGATAATTCTAGAAAGCTTCTATTCATGCCAGATATCAGAAGATTTGCATGCATTACATATAATTCTCACTGTTCTACAAGACTGATAACCCTTCTTCCCAGACTCAGAGTTGGGAAGTGAATCTTCCAGAAATTGAGAAATGTAACCAGGATTCCAGCCTGGTAGGAATCAGCCTTGGCTGATTCTCACGCCTTCACCACTGTGCCGTGATACCTGCTCTTTCTCTAGGAACTAGGTCCCGGAGTCCTGAGTTAAAATCCACTTCCACCATGTACAAGCTGTGTGACCTTGGTGCAGCTGACTGATCTCTCTGCGCTTCTGTATTCTCATCTACAAAAAGAGTCTCATAAACTCACCTTATCAAGGCATAGTGAGAATGATTGACCTTGAATAAATCAGAAGGGGCAGAGAAAGAGCTGAAGAAAATGACTGCCTCTGGATGGTAGGAAAACTGTGTTTTCCCCCTGCTGAATGCATTACTTTTATAATCAGACGAAATGATCACTTTCCTTGTAAAGAGGTAGAAGCCGTCACCCGTGTGTACCAGCCCTGCGAGATATTATAGGAGAGACCGTTTTCTTGTTTCCTCGAAGTTGAGTCAAGCAAATCTCAAGATTCCTCTAAAGAAAACCTCAGGCTTCCCCCAAAGGGATCTCTCATTTTGTCAAGTACAGAACCCTCAGCTCTGCCCTTCTGCTGCCCAGCTAGCTTGGTGCTGTCTCTGTCACTGCTAAGAAGTCAGGACTGACTGTCATGTGAGATCTCACTGTCCTCAGGTGCCCTCCCTTCCCACGTTCAGGAAGGGATCTGAGCAGAGGTTTGAGTGCAGGGCAGCGTGACTCCTGGGTACAGTAGGTTCTCCCTTCACCACTCTCCCAAGGACAGCTGAGAAGTGCCTGGTCCTTGCAGTTCCGTTCTATCAGCACCTGAAATTCTATTGCAATAGATAATTGTATTCTTCAGAAGTATGTTCTTCAGAGAATCGTATTTGTCTCTAAGCTTTCTGTCATTAGGAGAACTGTGTTGGGATTTATTAAAAATTACTCATAAGAAATAAGCCTTGTGCATAGAAACAGACGAGAAGGGAAGATCTAAATGCATGTCAGTGTTTCTGGGTGGTGAGAGATGGTGATTTGTGCTGTCATCTTTGTAATAATGATTGCTAAAATTTATTGAGCACTTACTGTATGCCAGGCGCTGTGGAAAGCCCTTGTGAGGCACTAATCACCCAAACCTCAAAACAATCCTGCGAGGTGGGTACTGTTAACCTCACTCACAGGTGAGAGTATGGAGGGCCAGAGTAGGTAAGTACCTTTGTCAAGGTCACACAGCCAGTGACTGCAGACCCTGGCCATGCAGCTCTAGGGTCTGTGTTCTTGGCCACTGTGTTATTCTGCCTCTCTACGCTTGGTTTATCCTCAGTCATCCTTAATGAGCATGTGCTGCTTTTAAAATGAAGAAAAGGGGTTTTGTTTGTAAATTAACTTACATGGTTCCAGGAATGATAAACGCATATGAAGAAAGACAGTACAAATATAATAATGCCTAAAGGGAAATATGAGAACGATGCTAATCCTTTACATGATCCTGTATTTTCCACATTCTCTAAAAAAAGCAGAGTTTACCTAAGTGATTTAAAACGTCATAAAAAAAGAAAATCCTGCTGTTAGAGGCACCAGTAAGAAGAACAAATAACAGCTGATGGTTTTTGAGAATGTCTGTGTTCCAGGAATTGATCAGAAGCATTCTGTGCACTACGTATTTGACCCTCAATAACCCCTTAGGAGGTAGGGATTGTTGTCATCCCATTTTACAGAGGAGGAAACTGAGGCCGAGGGAGCATTTGTACCATGCTCACAGACACACCAGTACAGCAGAGCCTTGACACCGATCCTCCCTCAAGGTCAGTAGTACCTCTCTGTCCTTTTCCACCCCAGGAGACCTTGAGGGTCAGAAACACGAATGGGTGCATCTAATTGCAAAGTGAGTAGGGGAGCTGATAGCAGTCCCTGGGTTTCTGGATGGCCTGTTTGGCTTTGCTCTCAGGGGCATAAAGAGTTTATGCCAGCAGGTAGCAGATGCCTGCAGCTCCTCGGGCAGCCTGTGCTCCTCTCACCCAGCCCCACAGGCTGTTCAACGCAGGAGCCATGCCCCATGCTACACTTTGACAAAGAGAAAAATAAAGGTTCACATGGAAGGGTCAACATTTTTCTCAAACAATGCAGCATGCACCACCATAGCCAGCCAGTGATAGTATCTCTTCCAAGAGCAGGCCTTCCAGTGAGCCTGCAGAAGCCGCAGGGCCAGGCGGAAGGAGGGAGAACAAGAATGGGTGCCATGGAGTCTTCCTCTTGGAGCATCAGTGGAAACTGATGTTTATGAAGTGCTTCATCTGTGCCAGGGCTGGGCCCCCACCATTGCTTTCATTTATTACTCACCACAGCCCTATAAAATGTCTTAGTAGCACACTACTTTTCAGATGCAGCAAACCAGCATAGAGAGGCTGAGGGGGCTCCCCAGGTTTCCAGGCAGTTAAGTTGGTAGTACTTGGACGCACATCCAGTCCAGCTGTAGAACCCACTCTGAATCCCACCCCACCTGCCCTCTGAAGGGCAACTGGGCTTCCCTGCTGTAAGTTTTGATTTCAGAGTAGCCGTGTGCCTGCATCTGAATGGACTCCTCGATTCAAGGAGCTGCCTTTGAATAGCAAAGTTTAGTTGTTTTTGTTCTTCAACCCTGTCTATTTGCACGTGAGCTAACTGGGGACCCAGTTTTGCGTAGGCATATTGTGGTTAAGCTGCTGCCTGGAAGCCAAGTGCCCCGGGGCGAGCTGCTTAAGTGGGCCTCATGCCTTCTTGGATGAAACTGGGATGGTAGCACCCAACCCATTGCCTAGTTGGGAGTAATCCTGAGGTAACATTGGTGAATCACATAGTCCAACTGGCGTCACACAGCAGGCACTCAAATAGCCATTTGTGTGTATGTACTTATATCACGCATGTGCATACGTGTGTATTAAAAATATTAAAATCACGTTTTCTTGCCTGAAACGTAGATACACAGCTTACACGTTGTTGTGAAATAAATACCCATGAAGTCTATAAACAAATCAACCACAAAACTAGCATTGGAGAATCTCCTCCCCACCTGTCCCCAAGGACCCTCCCTTCCCCCGACAGTAACCACAGTCCTGACTTCTGTAATAGTCCTTTCCCTGGTGTTCTTTATAGTTTGACTCCCTGTCATTAAAGAGTTAACTTTGCTGTTTGGAATCCTGCATAAGTAGACTCACACCAGGACGTGTTCTTTCAACTTCAACCATGTCATTGATGATCACCTATAGATGATCTGTTTTCTTTGCTGTAGAGTAACTCCAGAGTACGGGAGATCACAGTATGTTTTTCTGTTCTACCATGGTTGGGCATTTGGGATAGTTTCCAGTTGGGAAATCTTACAAACAATGCTGGTGTGCGCATTCTTGGATGCTTCTCCAAGAATGTGCAGTCCGTCAGCACACTTGCTGTGGGGTGTTTACCAAGGACTCAGAATTGTGCATCATTGGATTAGTTTATCTTCACTTTTTCAGACACTGCCAAGTTTTGCCAAGGTGTTGTCCAATTTACACTCCTACCAGCAGTGTAGGAGAGCTTCAGATCCTTGCCAACACTTGGTAGTGTCAGACTCTTTAACCAGCTGAAACACACTCGTATTTAATTGGGGTCTAAATTTATAATTCTCTGAATTCTAATGAGACTGACCATTTTCTTATATCTTATTGTTCATTTGGATTTCCTGTTTTTTGAAATGCCTATTAAGGTTTCTGTCGATTTTTCTCCTGGTTTTTTTCTTTCTCATCAATTTATAGTAGTTTTTATATAGTCTACATATGAACTCCTTGATTCTTACATGTATTATAAAAATATATGTGTTGCACATGTATTTTCCCACATTTTCACATTCTTGGTGAACTCTTCTGATAAATCAGCTTCACTCTGATAATGAAGTTGTTAATTGTAATGTAGTCCAGTCTTTTCTTTCAATAGCTAGTGTTTTTTAAGTTTGTTTTAAGAAATCTTTCAGCCGGGCGCAGTGGCTCATGCCTGTAATCCTAGCACTTTGGGAGGCCAAGGTGGGTGGATCACCTGAGGTCAAAAGTTCAGGACCAGCCTGGTCAACATGGTGAAACCCCGTCTCTACTAAAAATACAAAAATTAGCCAGGCATGGTGCCACACGCCTGTAATCCCAGCTACTCAAGAGGCTGAGGCAGGAGAATCACTTGAACCTGGTGTGGGGACGGCAGAGGTTCCAGTGAGCTGAGATCAAGTCACTTCACTCTAACCGGGGTGAAAAAGCAAAACTCCGTCTCAAAAAAAAAAAAAAAGGAATATTTCTCTACCCCCAACATCATGAAGGTACTTTACTCTGTCATTTTCTAGAAGCTTTTATGTTTTCCTTTTCACCCTTATAGTCTCTGGTCTCTGATCCACCTGGAATTGATTTTTGCACGTGTTGTGAGGTGAGGCTCATTCCCCCACCACCCCCCTCCCTCCGCCCACCGCCTATAGTTGCAAATTGTCCTGGCACCATTTATGGAAAATACCATTCTTTCCCCAACTGTTTTGCAGTGCACACTTTGTCATAAAGCAGGTGTCTGTAAGGGTGTGGATCTGTTGTTGGGCTTCTCTTTTGCTTCATTGCTATATTTGTTATTTCTTGTGCCAGAGGCACCTTGGCTTTAAAAGAAGTCCTGATACCCAACAGGGAAAGTCTTGACAACAGTTGTGCTTCTTCAAACATGTCTAGACTGGTCTTGGTCCTTAGCATTTCTATGAACAATTTAGAATCACCTTGCTACATTCCACAAACACAAAATGTTGCCTAGTACTTTTATTATCTATTATTTTTTTTTTTTTTTTTTTGAGCTGGAGTTTCGCTTTTGTTGCTCAGGCTGGAGTGCAATGGCGCTATCTTGGCTCACCTCAACCTCTGCCTCCCAGGTTCAAGCAATTCTCCTGCCTCGGCCTCCTGAGTGCCTGGGATTACAGGCATGTACCACCATGCCCAGCTAATTTTGTATTTTTAGTAGAGTCGGGGTTGTCTCCATGTTGGTCAGGCTGGCCTTGAACTCCCAACCTCAGGTGATCTGCCTGCCTCGGCCTCCCAAAGTGCTGGGATTAGAGGTGTGAGCCACCACGCCCAGCCCCATCTATTATTATCTTATATCAGTAATAGTATTAAAGTTGAATAATTCTTCCTGGACCAGAAAATTTCAAGTTTCCAGTTGTATTTTCCAAATTCTTCTGGTTACATGCACCTAGCCTGACCCTTCTTGTAGACTTAGTGAGTCCCATGGTCGGATTGCATCTAGAAGGAGGTACATCGAGTGGGAGAGTCCACAGCACAGACAGAGACATCTGCAGAGGGACTTGGGGAAAGAGCACTGGTCAGGGAAAGAGGAGGTTTGGGTCTGGGTCCCAGCTCTGCCACCAACTGGCCAGGTGAGCCTGGGCAAGCAATTGCCAAGAAGAGTCACTCACTCCTTCTTCTGCATGGCCACTGTGACTAGTGCTCTCAACCACACATCCTTTCAACAAACAGCGAACTTACTGTCCATCAGCACTGGGGCGAAATAGGAATATAAAGAAGAATAAAGCATCATCTCTGCCTGAGGGGCTTAGCATCTACAACAGTGTCTCTTGGACTGTGCTGCAGTCAACACCAGGACTGAGAAATGACACACACAAAAAAATGTTTTGTGGTCAAATAATTAACACAAAACCTTTGTGCAATATTCCATTCATGCATATTAGCATTTATGAGATCTGAGAAGTCTTGGAGTTTAACCCAGATTTGCTTAACGATTGTATTAGTTTTCTATCACTACTGTAACAAATTATTGCAAACTTAGTGTAAAACACAAATTTGTTATCTTACGCTTCTGGAGGTCAGACATCCATATTGGGTCCTACTGGGCTACAATCAAGGTGCTGGCAGGGCTGTGATCCTGCGTGGAGGAGAAAATCTGTTTTGTTGCCTTCTCCAGCTTCTATAGGCTGCCCACAAGCTTTGGCTCATGGCCATCCACCATCTTCAAAGCCAGCATGACTAGTCAGCTCTTTCTCATGATGCCGTCTCTCTGGCTCTGCCATCACATCCCCATTTCTGACTCGGACTCCCTCTTCACATTTAAAAGATCCTTGTGATAAGATTGTGCCTATGGGGACTCTGCAGTATAATCTCTTAGTCTACAATCTTAATTCCTCTTGGTCGCTTAAGGTAACATAGTTGCCTTAAGGGATTGGGATGTGGAGGTTTTTGGGGGCCACTGTTCTTCCTGCCATGGTAGTGGAACCCCTGTGAGTCCACTTACCCCAGCTTTATTTATTTATTTATTATTTATTTATTTATTTATTTATTTATTTATTTTGAGATGGAGTCTGTCTCTGTCGCCCAGGCTGGAGTGCAGTGGCGTGATCTCGGCTCACTACAAGCTCCGCCTCCTGGGTTCACGCCATTCTCCTGCCTCAGCCTCCTGAGTAGCTGTTGACTACAGGCACCTGCCACTACGCCCGGCTAATTTTTTGTATTTTTAGTAGAGACAGGGTTTCACCGTGTTAGCCAGGATGAACTTGATCTCCTGACCTCGTGATCCGCTTGCCTCAGCCTCCCAGAGCTCTGGGATTACAGGCGTGAGCCACCACGCCCAGCCACCCCAGCTTTATTAAAGTTCATCTGACACTGCGTGGCACATGGTGTGGAGGACTCGGTGCAGGGTGGGGTCTTCCTGTAGCCCCTCACCATCATGTACTCTCATCTTGGTACTGCTCCTGATATCATGTGATAGATTTGTGTTTGTTGCCATTCTTCAAACTCCACAAGGGTGAGGTTTTCATCTGTTTTGTTCACTGCTATGTCCCATAGTGTTCACTGTTGCTGACATAGTCCTAGCAAGTAGGAGGTTCTCAGTGGGTATTTGTTGACCGAGAGTGGTGGAAAGTCTTTCTAATAAGACAGGAAGCTTCTTGAGGGCAAAATTCTTGTCCAAGTTATCTTTTCTTCCCCAGGGTCCAGAGGTGGCTGGTGCTGAATTTAAAGATTATATAGTGCGGGAAAAGGCAGACTCACCACCAGGAAGTCTTGCTGGAGGTCGTTTTCTTAAGGAATTTGCCGTAGTGTATACCTAGACTAATCTGTCATGGGCAGAAACTCTTCATCATCTGGGTATAAGTTGAGATAATAAGCTTCTCAGGCAAATTTGCAACAGAGGGTCCCAAACTTACTTGGTTCACAGCGTCCTGAGTCCAAAAGAAATACGTAGTAGTTTTGTTTATCAAGCAGTTAGGCTCATACTGCTTAGTAAGTGTTGCTATCCTCACAACATAGAGTAGCTGCTCGAAAACCATGATACGTATCAACAGAAAATATATATATATTTTAGTCATAATCGCTTACTAATGGGATGTGTGTCCCTGTTGGCAACTGCACAGTTTCTGAAACCTTGGAATCAGATTGGACATTGCCACCCTCATTTTCTGTGCATATTGATTTCCACACTTGGTTTTCTCACAGCAACTATGGAAAACTCAGCTCACAAAGATGTAATGTCACTGAAAGAAATCCAGTGTTGACACCATAGGCTACCTTGGGATAGTAGATTCACATGTCCAAGAGATGTCAGGTATTGCTGTGTTTCCCTTAGAAACTCAAGATATTCTGCCTTACCCCTGTGAGTTCACTGCAGTACCCAATGGTGTCCCAGCACAGTCTGTAAACTGAAGATTTGTGCTAATTCACTGAAGGCCTGTGTACAGAATGCCAGAGCCAGATCACCATGCAGGGGAGCACTGCATTCAAACCCTTGTCCCCTTGTCCAGCCATCTCATCCCTGGGAGGTCGGGCTGGCAACCCAGTGTGCCAATGTGCTTGGCTTGGCAAGCAGCAGATCAGTGGGGTGGACTCCGGACATCCAGTCAGTCTGGATGCTGATGAGGCTTGAGATTACAGCTGTTTCCCAGCAAGAACTCCTTCCTGGGCCTGGCCTGCTCCCAGCTCCAGCCCCTCTCCCCCAAAGATAGCTTTAAGAAATGAGGTATGGAGGGTGTAGTGAGCTTTGGAAAGAGAAGGACTGGGAACCCAGGTGGGTGCCAGCCCTCGTTGTAGGAGAGTCACAGGTGTCATCTATTTAACAAACCCTTCCCTGGGTCTTTCTGTATGCCAGACACTTTTCTAAGAGGTTTGCAAATAGGAGGTCATTCAATCCTCACCACAACCCCATGAAGTCGATCTATTGTTACCCCCACTTTACAGAAGAAGAAGCTGAGGCATGGGAGGTTAAATGTACTTTGCCCAAAGGTTCATGGAGCTGGGAAGTGGTAGAGCTGGGATTTGAACCCAGGCTGTTCATACTCTCACCTGGACTTTTCCCTTAGGGGGTTAGAAAACCTGGGCAATCCTTCCCACTGTGCTGCTTTCTAGCAACGTGCTGGGGCCAGGTGCTGAACCACTCTAAGATTCTGTTTTTCCGCTGTGAAACAGGCCCAGTAAACTTCCCCCTGGGGTCATTGAATGGCTTCCAGGAGATCAGGCATGTAAAGTGCTTTCAATTATCCAGGGTAGTAGCAAAGAAAGCCTTCAGACCTCCCTGACTAGGGAATCCCAGGCTCTCCTCCCCACCGACATACATGAACCTGGAAGACAGCAGGGGGCAGCACCGGGCCGCTGCAGAAGGTTCTGCACCTGGAGGCGCTGGCCCTTCCTTCCACAGGGATCCTGCATCTCAGTACCTGGCAATCTGCTCCTCCTCCATTCAGGCAGAACATTCGAGCTGGCTTTGCCAAAACAAGAACAAAATCACAGCCTGGCAGGATGAATTAAGGGGGAAACCAAGGAAGAAAGCTCAGCATAACCGTTGTTAGCTCAGAACCTGCCTTGCACATCTGGGCCTTCTGAAGCTGCTCGTTTCAGTTGTTAAGATATTTCTGAAGGCACTTCCCGATGCACGAAGGCCCCTCCCACGTCCCACCACCGGACTGTCCTTTGAAAAAGGTTCGAGAACGCGTTGCAGGTGGTGGTTTACCTTGAGGTCCGTGTGACGAGGAGCGACATAGAAAAGTGACCAGAGGTTGCACCTGAGGAGGAAGATGCCTTTTATACCAAAATACGTGTGCACAATGTCTTTGGTGTTTGGCGTGGGGTCCTATCAACTCCGTCCTGTTCCTTTTTAGCTTATCTTTGTTCAGCTGAAACCCAGATGAGAACAGGACCTTGAAAAAGCCACAATCCAAACTCTGGAAACCCACACCTTCTCATAGAGGAATTTGGTGGAGAGGCTGCCTCAGGGTGTGGTGTCTCCACAGCAGGCCACTGCTGTTCCCTGTTCAAGCCACCATCCCCAGTCACTGGCCCATCTGGGCCCTGTGGGGCTCCTGTGGACAGCTGAGGCCAGCAGCTTGAGGGACGCCCCTCCTTTTCTGCAAGAGGGCAGGAGGCCTGGGACCCCAATTGTGCTATGATGTCTGGCTAGTCCTCACTTTCAACTGTACTGTCCCCAAGCATGGGGATAACAGCACAGTCTCGATGCAACCCCTTCAGCTTGTTGGTTGTTTCTGTTTTTCCAAGGATGCTGAAGGCTTGGTCCTTTGACCCATTAAGTATTAATAATAATTCTCATTATTCAGTCTGTAGGGCATGGATCAGTGACGAATACATTGCTTGGGGGATTTATTTAAGGGAAGAAGGGCTATGATTATGGGTGATGGGGGAGGTGCCGGGAGTCACAGCAGATGAGTCAAGAAGGGTAGGCACAGCACCCATGGCAAGAGAATTGTATCCCTGTGCTCTGTGTCCCGTTCTTTTGGGAAGGCCTGAGCAGTGAGTTTGTTTGCTGAGCCGTCTCTAGAGTGCCAGTAACTCTGACTGCTGGCTTACCACAGCCTGCAGCCTGGATGGGAGGATATGACTGGCTTCAGGACTTTGCAGGAATCTCTCTGGTCTAGTGTGGGTGCCGCTTCTGACTCGGACAACTGTTCTCCATGCCCTCTACTTCCTGCTGCTTTCTCAGATCCTCTTCCTGCTGCTCTGCTCCCTAACCACAACCCCACTAAATAGAGCCCCCTAATTCTAGCCCATTCCGAAAGATCTTTTCCAGTAACATCCCCTGCCCCCAACTTTGTGTGCTTGGTTATCTTAAAGTTATGACAAACCAGAGATAATGTGCTGATCATGTGAACGTCACTCCTCTCCAAAGTGACACATTTTCATTTTCTAAAATGCACCTTATTAACAGAAATAAGATTCTACAGTTTCTGGTTGGCCATGGAGTGACTATTTGGAAACAGTGGAACTTCCAGATTTCTTCGCATCCAAGTAGGATTTTGCTGAGGGTGGACTCAGCCCTGTTTCTGTGATATAAAACATTTTCTTCATTCTTTCCTTCATCAGACATCTCCTATAAGCCCCGTTCAAATGACTGCTTCAGGGTTCTGGGTTCCCGTGTGTAAATGTGTGTTAGTTCATTCTTGCCTTGCTATAAAGAAATACCTGAGGCTGGGTAATTTACAAAGAAAGGAGATTCGAGTGGCTCGGGGTTTTGCAGACAGTACCGGAAGCATGGTGTTGGCATCTGCTCCTGGTGAAGGTCTCCAGAAGCTTCCAATCATGGCAGGAGGCAAAGGGGGAGCAGGCACATTACGTGGCGAGAGCCAGAGCAAGAGGGAGAAGGGGAGGTCCCAGATTCCTTTAAACAATCAGATCTTGTGTGAACTGAGTGAGAGCACACCCATCACCAAGGGGGCGGTGCTGAGCCATTCATAAGGGGTCTGCCCCCATGATCTAATACCTCCCACTAGGCCCCACCTCCAATATTATGGATTACACTTCAACATGAGATTTGGAGGGGACAAACATGCAAACTATATTACGCGGCTTCCTTTGCCCGGTATTTAAAAACCATTTGCCTTCCTCTGTGTAGTTTAAGTTGTTTTTCCCCACCTCAAGTCAATGAATGAGTTCGGAGGAGGGAAAGCTTCAAGTCAGCGAGGCTAGGATTTTTACTGGTTGGTTCAATGCTGAATCCCCAACCCTGAGAATAGTACTTGGCACATAGAAGGAGCTCAGTAAAACTTGACTGAATGGATGAATATGTGATTGGTTCCACAATGACATCACCGAGAGAATTTAGGGTGAGTTGGTCTACGCCTATGAACAGACTAGGCTGGAGAGCTACCCTCCACTGGGCTTAGGTTCCCAGCAAGTGACATTCATCTCTCACCCTGCTCTCCAGGTGCCCGTGTGGCCTGTTAGCACCCAACCTTGGAGCTGCCTGGCCTGGAATTACCCATGCACTGACTGTCCTCATCAGATGGCCAGCTTCTAAAGGGAAGGGCCACTTTCTGGACTCTTATTTTTGCCTCCAGGGCCTGGAGAACTGTCAGTGCTCAAGAAATGTCTACCAAATTGAAATTTAAATAGATACAGCCTGTGGGTTTGAATTTGGGATCAGTACTTTTCCCAGAATGTCCTAAAATTTCTGTGTAAAATACCAGGTATTGTATCGATCAGATACTTAAGCACTGCCCAGAGCCTGCCATTTTCTCAAGTGCTACAGAATCACTTAATTCCTGAACAGCTGTTACAAGCAGCCACAACAACAGTGGAAACAGATAATGACTTCAAAACGTGGACAGAAATTGAAGAATTGAAATTAATAAATGTGTAATTAAATGTTAGATATTTACCATCGTGTGAACTTTGTTATTTGCTGAATTTCGGAGTCTTGAACGTTTTATTATATTTGAAAATAATTTGTGGCATAGATTATCCTCACTTCACAAAAAATTCTTGAGTTTGCACAGTGGGTGTCAAGGGATCTTAGCCAACCATAAATTAAATAAGTTACATAAAAGTAAGTAAATGTAAAAGCAAAATTATAAAAGCCTTTTCAAAAGTGTGGATGGCAGAAAAAATATTTAATGATAGATGCGGATGTATTTTAATATGTTTGATGTGGGGTGAAGTCCTCTAAAAGTAAGGGACACAAATTTCAAAGCAACCTACCTGAAATACTATAGAATTGTAGCATAATATACAGTGCTTTCATAGAGTTTCCAAAAATTAGAAATTCAGCCTTTCCCCTCTAGGATTTTTAGATGAATTCCTAATGTCATCTCATCTCATCAATGTAAAATAATCTCCTTGACCTTTGGTGATTTTGCTCATCGAATAGCTTCTGTTTTGTAATCTATTTTTTTCTTCATCTTCCTTCAGGAATCCTGTTCACGATGCTGGTATTTGGACCAGCCTGCGGGTTTATCCTGGGCTCTTTCTGTACCAAAATCTACGTGGATGCGGTCTTCATTGACACAAGTAAGGAATATATCTCCATGTCTACCTTCCATCCGCAAGCGTTTCCTCCCTCATAAATGCGGCTTCAGCCTGTGGGTTCTAAAACCTTCTTGCTAAGAGACAGTCTTGATGCCCCTGCCTCTGTAGCTGGGGCTCACCCGAGATTAGATGAAAGAACGTGAGTGTTGGTTCAGAGGGCCTGACTCAAGTCTGGGTTCTGCCAACATCTACCTAGAGGCTGAATAACCCCCAATAGCTGATTTTACTCCTCAAATCTGTATTTTCCTTATCTGTAAATAAAGGGTAACAATAATTACATCGGCCTGGCAGATAAGAATTTAATGAGAGTGTCTGTGTAGAAATGCTTGGCATATCCTCATTGAGTGGGGGCCCATTAACCTATATGAGGATCCTACTTTCCAAACTAAAAGTTGGAGCATGTGTTCTGGAGGTGCAAGTGTACAAACGGGGTCAATGAGACAGAATATTGGAACATCCTTTTAGAAGACACTGTTGTGGTGGCCTTTGTGAGGAAATATCCACATTCAAAACCATTTTAAGCAGAACCTGTGTTCTTAGCAGGAAGTGCAAGTGCATTTCTCAGAATACCCTGAGTTCCCCAATCCATGATTGTGGGATTGAATGGGATGCTAGATCGATGGGCTAGACTATTCTGTGGTGACAGACAGTCCCAAAACCTCAGTGATTTTATACAACTAAGGTTTATTTCTTGGTCACACTACATATGCAGTGTAGGTCAGCAGTGTCAGGGTCAGGGAGACTTGGCTCATCGTGGTGACCTGTAGATCTACTCTCAGGATCGATAAGCATTCTCAGCCCCCCAGGCCCAGGCCCACAGAAGTTCCATCCTGACCCCAGCTTGCACAGTTACCAAGACAGGAAACCAGTTTTACTCTGGCCCTTGAAACCTCTACTCAGAAATGACATACAGTGTTTCCCCTCATATTTCATTAACCAAAGCAAGTCACGTGGTGTATTGGTTTCCTGTTGCTGCATAAGAAATAACCCCAAACCTAATGACCTAAAACAGCAGACATTTCTTATCATACTGTTTTTCGTATTTTTTTCTGTGGGTCTGGAATACAGGAGCAGCTTCACTGGGCAGTTCTAGCTCAGGGTCTCTTATGAGGCTGCAGTCAAGGTGTTGCAAGGTGGCAACCTGGTCTTGGATCATCCCAAGGCTCAGCTTGGGGAGGATCCACTTCCAAGCTCACTGCCATGGGCCCACAGGAGGGGACTACCTCACCGTGACACCCCTGAAGCAAACAACCCAAGAGAAGGTGAGAGAGAGCACCTGAGGCAGGAGTCACAGTCTTTTTATAACCTAATCTCAGAAGTGACATCTCATTACTTCTGCTGTATTTCGTTTGTTAGAAGCTAGTCACTTGTTCAGGTTTACTATGGAAAGAGAAGGGATTATTACACAAGGACCAGAATACCAGGCAGCAGGGACTTTAGGGGACCGTCTGGGTCATTGCCTACCATGTGCTGTCACATCTCTACCTTGTGTCTGAAAAGGAACACTATATTTCCATGTAGTTTAGCATGCAGCAAAGCCATATTTCCTTTCTCTCTGAAAACAGAGGGTGAGAAGCCATTCCAGCCTCTGCTTCTCATGCCGATCTATCCTCAGGATCAGTAAGAATTCTCAGTCCCCAGGTTCTCAATCCATCATCTCTTGACAATGCTAAATTTACTAATTCACCCCAAAGAAATAATGTGGTTTTAAATCCAAGTCGCTTTGTGATTCACTCCATTAATCCTACTGATATATTTACTTGTAGCTAATGATGTTACAAATTTCCAAGTGGAAAAAAAAAATCAGAGGCAGCCCTATTTATTTATACTTTTAAAGTGCTGAGTCTGTTCCGAAGGTGATTGAGTGCTGGTGTTTTGCAGCCGTCGGCTGGCCCTTTGAACCCGTTTCCTAGGGAGTGTGGTAACAGGTAGGCTGGGAAGACACAGGACACATGAAGTGAGTCAGTTTCCATCTTGCTCGTATAGACAGGCCAGCTTCCACCACTGCACCCAAGGCAGCACAAGACAGGGCCAGCAGAGGGGATAGAGAGGAGGCATACTCCTGATGCAATGGGGAAGCCACCTTGAAGGGTAGCAAAGTGGCCAGATAGCATATTTTGCCCTCAGTGCTATCAGTGGTGGCCTTGAACCAAAAGCCTGCGAATGACCAGAATATCTGAGCTGGAAAGAGCCTCAGACATCATTCCTTTCCAACTCTTTCATTTTACAAATGAGGAAACCAAGTCACAGAGAGGGGAAGGGATGTCCCCAATCCAAGGAATGTATCTCTATAAAACCCCGATCTCCTGAGCCTGCCTGTGGAGATTTCACTCACCAAACTCTCTTAGGAGAATGAAACAGCACCTTTTCTCAGTGCCTGAAATGACCAGCGGGTAGACAGATGGCTGGAGGGGGCTTAGCCCATCCACTCCCAGTTCCCTCCATTTGCTGAGACTGTTCCTTCAGCCTGGAATGCTGTTCCCATCTTACTGTGTTCGGCATCTCTGTTTGCCCGTTAAGGCCCAGGGTGGAGCGGTGTGATCCATGGTTCCAGGCTCATTGGCTACTTGGTGCCTGCATGGATGTAAGGCAGGTGGGCTCCTTTCAGTCCCGTGTGGGCATCTCGCTGATGACAGGCTTCCCCACCAAGTTGATAGCGGACTTCCCTTTCTGTTTCCAAAGAATGCAAGGTGCATTGTCAGTCACGGTCTTTGTTTGCGTCCTTCCCGGAGGCACCGTGAGGCACCGTGTGGCACAGCTCTTTACCGGTAGAGGGCAGAAGAATATCATTTATCCTATTTAGGGAGTCAGCCATAGAATTCTATAGTTGCCAGCAGTTTTTATTGTTTCTAGTCTTGTGAAACTTGCCGCCTGCAGGTGGATTTGGGCTGTATTTGAGGAGGGGATTCTTAATTGCTTTAGGGCCTCCCCTATCTTTTCCTTGCTTTCCTAAAACAGTGCTCTTCTGTAGGGCTGTCCAATGTATGGGAACATTACTGTAGGCATTAATAGGCAAGGGCCACACACGTGGACACATGTTTCTGAAGTCCCCACTGAGATTGGGGTCCAGGAAAAGCAGCAGCCTAAAATTTGTGGGGAAGGAGCAAGGCAGGTCCACAGAGGGCCCTCGTTATGGGGTAGATGGAGGAGAGAAGGCGGCGTCCACCACATAGCCTGGTGCCAGCATTGAGAGGAGAATCCAGTGAGGAAGCCTGGTTGAAACTTGTGAGTAGATGCAGCTGGGGTGCCAAGGAGGGCTGGTTGTAGACATGGGCCAGTTCTGGGGTGACAGCCCCCACGGGGCACCTTGCCTGGAGGTCCCAGCTGGCTCCACTTGGACATGGGCTGCTCCCGCTGCTGCCTTTCATCCATGTTTGATCGCTACGTGGTTCCCTTTGCTCCTCAGCTCAGGGAGAATAAATCCCTCCCCTGAGAGCTGGGGGAGGAAATGATGGTGCCTCCAGAATTTCTTTTTTAGGTTCTTTGTTAACTGAAACCCAGGTGAGAACAGGACCTTGAAAAAACGGACTTAGTAGCAGAGTACATATCTAATCACTGCCTTGGCCAACCTTAACTATGTGGGTTTATTACAAAAAGATTAGTAGTAACAGCAGCCATGAATTGGTCACTTCTTAAAGCTATACATAGATTGCCTCATTGGAGCCTCAGCACATTCTCATGGGAGTGTAGATCCTACTGTTAGGTGAGGCATTATCATGCAGTGGTTAAGAATTCAAGCACTGGAATCAGACTCCATTTGAATCCTGACTACACCCCCTTATGAGTTCTGTGATCCTGGGGACATCGCACACACATCCTGAGTCTGTGTGTGGATGGCATGAGTTACTCATGCAAAGCATTTAGCACAGTGCCTGGCATATAGTAAGCACACAATAAATACTTATAATAAGAAATCCGAGAGAGGTTAACAGTTTCCACAGCTAGGGATAGAGCAGGGATTCATCCCCAGGCCTGTCTGACCTCAAAGCCCCACTCTTAACAGAACAGCTGGCTTCCCTGAAACATCTCCAGGAATTTAGCCAGAAGGCGGCTCCCTTCCATGGACAAAGGCCTTGCTGAGATGGCCTAGCCTCACCAGCACATCCATGCAGACTTGTCCTGAGGCACACACCAGCCGGCCTCGCAGAAGGCTGCATGGCGTTTGCAGCTGGAACAAGATGTGGCCATCTGTTTGCTTCACAAAAAAGGTCAACAGACTGAGAGCCTCCTGCTCTGCCATCCTGAGGGCTGGCTGCTACTGCTAGATTCCTTCATTTTGGGCTAATTAGCCCAATGGCTGCGATTCTAGATGTTCAATGCCACCCTCCAGCCTTAGTCCCTTCCTGTCTCCAGTTTCTAATTAGGTTTGTAACTTAATGATACTCTTGGAATTCTTGAGTCCCATAGCAAAAGTTTGGCAACATAGGTTAAACAAATGGGTAAATGAACTACAAAAAAAAAAAAGTCCATATGGCACAGGAAAAAGAAGTAAATGTCCCCAACTTGCTTTGATCTCCTCTTCTCACAATCTCAAGTATCCTCATGAGCGTGTGGGTGGGTTGGTTGGTTAGTTTTAAACTGGTTTAACTGTATTTCCAGTGACTTTTCATTTGATCTTGGAAATGGGTGGAAATCTCCATGAGCCTCCTAGTTCAGTTAACCTTTGACAGAGAGAGCAAACAGCTGTCAACAGCTCTCAATTCACCCAACACAAGCAAGAAATAAGAACAACCCAGAAGTCAGATACAAAGAGTGGAAGGGTTAGAAAAATTGATCTTGTAAGGCCAGGCATAGTGGCTCTCACCTGTAATCCCAGCATTTTGGGAGGCCGAGGCAGGTGGATCACCTGAGGTCAGGAGTTTGAGATCAGACCAGCCAATATGGTGAAACCCTGTCTCTACTAAAAATACAAAAAAAAATTAGCCGGGCGTGTTGGTAGGCACCTGTAATCTCAGCTACTTGGGAGGCTGACGCAGGAGAATTGCTTGAACCCAGGAGGTGGAGGTTGCAGTGAGCTGAGATCTCACCACTGCACTACAGCCTGGGCAATAGAGTGAAACTCCATCTCAAAAAAAAAAAACAAAAAACAAAAAAACGGAAAATGGATCTAGAAAAGGAGAAACACCTTCTATGCCTGTTGACACCTATGTCAAGACAAGTCCAAGCTGTGCCTGGCTTCATGACAGATATTTCATGGTACACCCAGTGTATGGCTCTTTGCTCTACTCTGCAACCCTTTTCTCCTGTCCCCTTTACCAGACTTCCCTCCGAATGAAATGGCATCTGTTCTCATCATCTGGAATGACCACGGGGTAGATTAGTGGCTTGATGAGGGAGTTGAGCCTATTTACTTAGAGTCCCCAGAATGTGCCACACCTTGACTCAGCCTGTTCCCTCAGCCTGGGATACTGTCTCTACCTCATTTTATTCAACATCTTTCTTCATCCATGTGTCTAGTTTTGTTGGCAATTGAATGCATCTAAGTAAATGAGACAGATTGGTGCTTTCAGTTTTGTTCTGGGCATCTTACTGAAAGCAGCCCTTGCCAGAAGGCTGAAACTGCAGCCATTTTTTTTAAAGTTAAGACACTAACTAGAACCAAATAGAGAAGTAAAGAGGTTTTCAAGCCTTCCTCCCTACTTTTATCTAAAACAATACTTTTGCTATGCCAAGCCTGCCTGAGACTGCTGTTCTTATAGAACGTGGATTTCTATTTCCTAAACCTTTTGTACTAGTCAGGGTAGGCTAGGTTATGTTGCGGTAACAAACAGCTCCCAACTCTCAGCAGCTTAGAATACTAAAGGGTTCTTTCTTCTTTGTGCTACATCCAGTGTAGGTCAACAGGGACATTTCATTTATTGTAGCCTGTCAGATACCATCTTAGGAGGAAAGAGGGGGTGGAGTCATGTACCAGCTCATACACACTTCCACACAGAAGTGATATATGTCCCCTTGCTCACATTTCACAGGCAGAGCTCTGTGGCTTATAGTTACACCTAACTTCACAGAGTGAGGAGGTGTCATCCTCCTTGTCCTCAGAGGAAGAGGATCCAATGCAGACACTGATAACATCTACCACACCGTCCTCTTCCAGCCACACAGAGAACTCTCCCTCAATATCCCTAGTTCTGAAACAGTGTCTGTAGAGCATTGACGGACAATTACCAACAGGTGGAGGGAGATTTTTCACCAAAACTAGCCAAAATACCTCATAAAAATTATATTTGTTAGCTGGGCACAGTGGTTCACACCTGTAATCTCAGCACTTTGGGAGGCCAACGCGGGTGGATCACCTGAGGTCAGGAGTTCAAGACCAGCCTGGCCAACATGGTGAAACCCCATCTCTACCAAAAGTACAAAAATTAGCCGGGCATGGTGGTGGGCACCTGTAATCTCAGCTACTTGAGAGGCTAAGGCAGGAGAATCGCTTGAACCCAGGAGGTGGAGGTTGCAGTAAGCCAAGATCACACCACTGCACTCCAGCCTGGCCGACAGAGCGAGATCCACCTCAAAAGAAAAAAAAAAATTAGTATTTGTTATAGAGATGGACAGAGGCAAGACATTTCTCAGACGGGTCCAACCAGTAGCCGTCTTCCCCAGATCAAACTCACCAAAGCCTCCCCCGCCCTCAGGGCAGCACACTCCACAGCTGAGCAGTTTCTCTCAGCATGTTATTTCTCTCTGCCACAGTGCTCCGGATAATTGAAATGGAGAAAAAAATCAATACTTCCCAAAATAGTCAGTGATGAGTGTCTTGGATCTACAGAATCCTGCTGTCCACCACCTTCACGCAGGCCCCGTCTCCTGTACTTGCCCGGGTGGCAGGCGGGCTTTGGTTCTGACACAGGTGACGTGCCCTTCCCCATCTTTCAAACTGTGAGCCAGCGTCAGCTTTCCCCAGACATACACATACCTACAGGAAGCAAGTTGACACGTTCACACAAACCACCACCTCCCCCATCGCCATCCCTCTCCCTGGGTTGTTTTCTCACACTTAGAACAACAGAGTCACTAACTTCCTAACTAAAATATGACTTTTCTAATTTTGTTCCCCCAAACAACTGCTAGGATTTCTCTCTCTTTACCCGCTCACATCTGCCAGCTTTTCAATTCCCCCTTTATGGAGCCTGGAGACAATGGAGGGAAATACTTCAGCTCCCTTTTGCTGTCTTTTGTTTTCATTCATTGCTTGGCAGCAGGTGAAGAAACACAGTAAGTGACTAGTGAAAATATTCCTGTTCAGCTACCAGAGGCAATTTCACTTCCTTGTGTCTTCCCTCATTTGCATAAAGATGCTTTCAAGATCACCTTGTGTTTTCCCATGCTGTACCCTTTTTTAAAAAGATCCCTATTTTGAGATTCTCATTTATATACATATATGTACATAAAAGTGAGAATAACAAGATCTCTCTCTATACAAAGAGCCTACTGTGCATCAGGTGATTCTTGCTCATTGCCTGTCATCCTTGCAACCACTCTAGGTTGAAGCTGTCTTTATTTTGCAAATGATGCAGCTAAGACTCAAGGAGGGTAAGTAATCTGCCCAGTGTCACATGCTAGTAAGTGGCAGAGCTGGGATTCGGCCCCCAAGTACTCCAGGCTTACACTGTCCCCTCTCCAGCATGTAGCTATGCAGAAACATCTGGTCCATTGTAGTGCTATTGTTGCGCTGGGTGTATGTCAGCATCTCCAGGACAGTGACTACCAGTGTTCCAAAGGCCACTTGCTACCTACTGGAAGAGCTGGTGGCCTTAGGCTCATGGCACAAAGAGCAGGAATTGATCATTCACCTCGGGCCCTACAGAGAGCCCAAAAACAGACATTGAAGAGGGGCAGTGGAACAGAAAGGTGAGAGCGTGGACCTTGGCATGTGTATACCTGTGTTCCGTTCTTCAGCCCCATGAACCTGGGCAACGAACCTAACCTTTCTAAGCCTCAGTTACTCCATCTATAGAAAACAGATAATAAAAGTCCTGCCTTGTAGAGTTATGGGGAAGGTTGGCTGGAACAGTTAAGAATGTGCTCTGCATAATGCCTGGTGCAGAGGAAGCCCTCAATAAACGATGGCTGGCCTTATCATTAATGCTAGCTGAGGAGTCTTCAGGGAGAACATTTTATGAGTGCTGAAGTGTTCATCTGGTGTGTGCGGTCATTACTCTTCCCAGAGCTGTCCATCCATCTGGTCCAGGCCTGCAGCCCTGTTGGTCTTACCTCATACACCATTGCCCAGATCTCCCCAGTTCTCCTTCCATGTTCCAGGGGCATGGTTTATTATCAAAGAGACATTTCTAAGCAGCTCACCTGGGAGCTGTGCTGTACAAGGCAGGTGTAAAGAGAGAGAAAGAAAAAAACTGTACCAAAGGGTAAGCTGAAGTTTATGTTCTTGTGACTTAGCTGGCACAATAAAAGAAATAGTGGTACAGTGCCACCAAACCATATGCATAGCCCCTTTAAGCACATGAGTTGACTGCAAAGCTTTGTATTAGAGAGCTGGTGCCAAACCACAGGCCACCAACAAAGTTGGCATTAATTAATTAATTAATGCATGGAAACAAAGGCCCCTCACCATAAATAACAGGCTACCATCATCTGGGTGCCCAAGCATGCGCCAGGCACTCTTCTGAGCATTTTATGTCTGGTGTGGTCATTTGATCTTCCCACTAAGTACTGCCATCATCCTAGATGTTATACAGATCAGTAAACTGAGGCATAGAGAGTTCAAACCACTGGCCTAGGGTCACACAGAGACAAAGGGGTAGGACTTCAACCCAGGCAGCCTGGCTTCAGAGGCCCTGCTCTAAAACCCTATTGTGCGCCTCCCCTTATGAGCTGTGAACCTAAATTGAGGCAGTGAGTGGGGCATTGAGTGGGATCTCGTGTGAGCTGCTTTTTGGAAGCCAAGAGTGAATATACCCGGTGAAAATCTACCTCTGAACAATAAACATTTCCTTGTGCTTCTTTCAGTACACCTTAGCAGTGCTGCCAAGCCAGTTTTAGCCTAAATTCAGAGAACGTCTGGCTTCTCACTGTTTTTGTTTAGACCGATATAAACACAGGGTAGACAAGAAAATTAAGGGGGGAATGTGATCAGCCTCCGGCTTTGAGAGAAACAGAACCGCTGGTGTGGAACAATAGGCTTCGTAGCCTGGCAGCCAGTGTTCCCGACCGCAAGTCATTTCTAGAGCCCTTGCCCTCTCTGTTCAGCGGATTCAGATTCTCAGCAAAATCCCCAGTGGTCCAGCCTTCTTTTCTCCACTAAGCTGTGCTCTTTCCATTTACAGGTAACCTGGACATCACTCCGGACGACCCCCGCTGGATCGGAGCCTGGTGGGGTGGCTTTCTGCTCTGCGGTGCCTTACTCTTCTTCTCTTCCCTCTTGATGTTTGGGTTTCCACAGTCCCTGCCCCCGCACTCAGAGCCCGCCATGGAAAGCGAGCAGGCCATGCTCTCCGAAAGAGAATACGAGAGACCCAAGCCCAGCAACGGGGTCCTGAGGCACCCCCTGGAGCCAGACAGCAGTGCCTCCTGTTTCCAGCAGCTGAGAGGTAAAGGTGGCCTCATCTGCCTCTGCTCAGAACAGTAGGGGGATTGGGATGGGGGTGATGAATGAAGGGGTGGCACCCAGGACTGGGGTGCTTGGGGACTTGGTGGAGGCAGAATAATATTGGCTTGCATGGCTGGCCTCTACCAGCCAGGTGCTTAACTTATTCCTGAGAAGTAAATAACCTGACTTGCTTAATAAAAACAAAAATAAAGTAGCTACCATTTGTTAAAGGGACCCAGTGGTTAATATAGGACCTGACATTTAATAAACATAAATGTCTTCAGAAGGAAGCAAAATATTCTGTGGAGCTTTTTTGAATTCTTTCAGGCCACCCATAAGCACCTGGAAGCAATAAAGGAATTTTGAAGTTGGCTTCCTTTGCCTGATATCAGCATTCTTTGAAAAGCCACCTCCAGCCGGGCGCGGTGGCTGTAATCCCAGCCACCGCGCCCGGTGTAATCACATCTGTAATCCCAGCCCTTTGGGAAGCCAAGGCAGGTGGATCACTTGAGGTCAGAAGTTTGAGACCAGCCTGGCCAACGTGGTGAAACCCCATATCTGCTAAAATACAAAAATTAGCCGGGCTTGGTGGCATGTGCCTGTAATCCCAGCTACTCGGGAGGCTGAGGCAGGAGAATCGCTTGATCCTGGGTTCAAGCTCACCAGAGGTTGCAGTGAGCCAAGATTGAGCCACTGCACTCCAGCCTGGGTGACACAGCAAGACTCTCATCTCAAAAGAAAAAAAAGCCACCTTCAAAGTACATTTCTTTACATTCACTTTGTCCTTTCATTGTCTCCACTAAAGATGAGAGATGTTTTCCTGCAGAAAGAAATATTAACCCAGTCTTAATGACACAGTCACACTTTAGGATGCAGCAAAGCTCTTGCTATCATTTTTTAAAGAAAAAAAAGTGCAACTTTTCTGACAAAATGGTGAAGCACAAACAATGATGCAGAGTGAGAACCCCCCTCCACCACCACCGCCCAAGTTGTTTCCATCTTCGGCACAATCCTTTAAAGACGAGGAAAATGACAAGGAGCTGAATGTAGCCTGGCAGTCTCAGAAGCTGCTCGGCGACTATCAGGCGAGGTATGTGTGAGGTTCCTTAATGCACACGACTCCTTGCTCAGCTCCCCTGACGTCCTGCTGGATTTTAGAAATGAGTGGGCTCATGCAGCCAGGAGCAAGGTCAGGCACTACTTCCCAGGGAAGCTGGGATGCAGAAGGGAGATGGTCAGTCCCCTCTGTGCAGGAATGCGGCACTCAGCCGGGCCAGCCTTCCACAGCGGCAGATGCAGTCCTCCTGTGCTTTATTTAGACATTTCCTAGCAGTGAAAGTCTGTTTACTAAACTTCTGTGTAACAATGTGCGCCTTCTATAGAGATGCTAGAGATTTGTGGAGAGAAGCTTGAACTGCTTTGTGCTCAGCCCCCTGTTCTGTTCCTCACCAGCCCTGCGATCATTAACTGCCCCCTGCTTCTTTTCCACGAATGTAAAACTGTAATAACACAGTTCCTCACTGCCAGTGCTGTCTCAAGAATGAAAGCACTGCTGCAGAAGACTGTCTGTTAATCGTACCTGTTAGTCCATGAGAAATCTCAAGAACTTGTGCGATTTCTGAAAAGAGACAAATTTAATATCGTAATGTTATGTCTGGCCCCATGTTCCATGATGGTTTCTACCAATGCTGTAATTTGGAATCATCCATAAAACTTAAGTTCCAGAATGCACCGGTAGATGAGAAGGCCAGCCAATCTGTGTCCTCTAAGGTTGCCTTGGTTGGAATGCCCCCGTCCTCATGCACGTGTGCTTAATAAAATAGGCTCACTTCCAGCAGGCCCCAGGCAAGGAGGGTGCCTGCGACTCCCCTAGTAGCAGGAGAGTGATGCCTGAGACTCCCCTAATAGCCATCCATAGAAAGTGTCCTGGTAACTAGACCCCTAGGAATAAATTGGGCAGGCATGAGAGTGTGGCTTTCAAAGGACATCCTGGCCATGGGCGACTACAGTATTTTCAGGTTGCTCCCCACCTCGGGATGATGACCCTGTTTCCCTAGGGCTCTGATTGTAAAAGCTGCACTAGTAATCACTTGTCTTTCATCTCTGGGAATAAAAAGATTAAAAAGATACAATGGTGCCATCAGAGAACTCACCATCCCACACAGGACCAGGTCTGCAAGTCAGCAAAGGCAGCCCAGTGTTTTGAGAACCGCAATAACAAGCAGCACAGGTGGTTACAGAAATGCAGCAAAGAGGCAGAGAGAAGCCCACCGCTCCTGGGCTGGGAGTCACGGGTGAGGAAAGGGTCAGCGGCAGAGCTGAGCCAAGTCTTGAGCCCTGCTATGGCTTAAGCATTCTTGGGTCATGATTCAGTCGCTCATTAACTCATTTGTTTTATTCCATTGGTAGTTACTGAGACCCTACTCGGTGCTAAGCACAGCCTTGACTAAATTGACTTATATTCTGGAGCTTATGTTCCACTAGGGTGCAATAGGCAAGCTCAGAGCAATGACAAGGTAAGCAAGCACTGGATGAGCTGCCGTTGAGCTGACAAGTACACAGTCAGGTAGACAAGTCTGGGACCCGCGAGGCCATATTGATTACAAATTGTGATCTGTATACGCACAGGCTTCACTTCTGATGGTTAATGATTTTAATTTAGAATTAACAATTCCCAGAGGCAATTGGCCCATAATGGACTAAAAGGATGTCTCAACAGGAAAAGAAGAAAGTGTTTCTGCAAGATTCCTTAAGAGCCAAAATACAGTGAAATGAGCTATTATGCTAATAAACACATTTTACACATGCCAGTGCATGAAGTGGGGCCACAGTCGTTTACATGATTTATTTCTCCATGCGAGACACATGTTTTTGCTATACGAGCTTTTCCACCAAAAGCACCATGCAGTGCACCCTGGCATTCCAAAACCCTTCATCCAGTTTGCATCCTGGAAAACCCACGCTGCAAATGCAGTGCTATATACATGCAGTGTGTTACACATTTGTGGGTTTCAATAAGCTGAACGGCGTTGCATGTATACATAGAACTGACATTGCTCCTAAAACCCCATGTTGCAATTTCTCATCCGTTTTGTCTGAGCTTCCAAATGGGTTTCTTCTTTGGCCATCAATCTGTGCCCCCTGCCATGCTCTGCAGACAGCAAAGGCCCCCTGATAAGAGCTGGCATTATGCCAGGAAGAGCCCTTCCAGCCCCCTCTTCTCTGGAACTTAGAGTCTTCTCCTGCTTCTAGGAGAGAAGGGGGCTGTCTGCTTTGAGGCAGATCCACCTGGGTTAAAATCCAGCTCAGTCGCTTCTTAATCATGCAGCCTTGGCCACATCACTTAACTCCTCTCAGCTTTCACATATGGTGTCTGGTTTAGTCTTTACAAAAGCTGTGTAAGGTCAGTGTCACTGTTTATTCCTGTCTATAGATGAGAAAACCAAGCTGGTGATATGGGGATTTGAGTCTGTGGTTCGATTTTCAGAACATTCCCCTAAAAAAAGCGGGCTGCAGAGGTCTGCTTCCAACAGTCAGCCATCAATTGGGTTTTACAACCCTTATCCAAAGCTGAGAGATGGAAAGCCCGGAGTCTTGCTCCAGGTCAGCCTGGAAGTCCCCATCTTATAGCAACAGCCCCATAACCATCTTACCATGCAGGAAGCAGATGAACAAATGCTTGGGTTTGTTAAACTCCAGTATCTCCCCGATGTGGGGGCTGGCCGAGCCAAGGCACATTTTTACTTCTCAGCTGCGCCACCAAATAACTTTTCCTTTAAGACCTGGCTCTGGCTCTGCTCCTCCCTGATCTTGCATTTTGGACAGCCTGTTTTTTACACACCTCACATTCGTCCTCTTGTGTCCTCTCCTCCCCTTTCCTACATGGTAAGCCGTGTGTGGGCAAGACTGCACCTAGTGTGCTGAATCTAGCAAATGCTCAGAATTTGCAGAATTGCTTTTGAGAGGCTACACCTGGAGGGAAGAAGTTGAGGGACTGTAATAGACATACGTACAGTATCATCATCAGATAGTGTATTAAATATCATCTCCACAGTTTTGTGCTCCATTGTAAGTTGTCTCCGGCATCTCTTGCCCTGAGAGGCCTTGATGGACATGACGAGGGTCTCTTCTGCAGCCGCATGTCCATCTGCCTTCTCCCTCCAGCTCTGTACAGTTCCTGGAATGCATCAGGCAGTCTCTTGTTTGCTGCTATTTCTCCCTGGAATGCCCTTCTTCCTTCAGTTCACTTCTGGGCTGGACTGTTTCTCACCTCCCCAGGAAGCCCCCCAAAGCCCCTCTGTGTACCTGCCCCTGTGTACCCGGTGCTAGGTTAGCTGCATTCCTCTGAGTTCCACAGAATCCCTGCAAAGCACCTGGGAACACATTACCATGGCAGTCTCTTTGCTTGTCTGTATCTGTCCAAAGATTATGCATTTTCCAGGGATGAAGCTGCAGTTCATCTGTTCATTTCCAATGCACAGAACAGTGCATAGCATGTAGGTGATACTGGTTGAATGAAGTAATAAATGAATACTTTCTTGCAAGCCTGCATGTATGTATAGACATGGACGCATGCACAGATAGCAGGTAATGATTGTTTTTTGTGCACTGTCATATTTCATCCCTGTAACCTTAGGAGGCATCGGTACCACTTACCAGTAAGGCAAGTGAGGCTTGTAGATGGAAGGGAAAGGCATTTGAACCCGGGCGAAGGCTCCAGTGTCTGTCTTTTTAACCATGGCATTATGCTGCCACTTCTGACAGTAAACGGACACTCTCTTAAAGAATAAGTGGCGTCAGCAGGTGCTGACTGATTTCTTAGCAGAGTGTACTAGAAGTACGGCTGCTGGCTGCAACAGCACAGGTGTCCCCTAAAAAGATGGGTCTTCCAGACACAGCTGCAGCCTAAAAGGAAGGGGAGAACCAACTCCCTGCAACCATTGGCCTGTCCTGACCCTCTGCCAGGTTTTCTAGCTGGGATGAGTGTAACCGCACCAGAGGTTTAAAATCCAAAGGGAGAGTCCTGCCTTTGATCACTGAAAGAGAGGGCAATCAAAAGCTGAGCACTCTTGTCACTGAGCGCTTCATGCTGACTGCCAAGTGGTCTCTTCCTGTCCCAGAAAAGATAGCAGGTGCCAGCTGAGTGGGCAGGGCTGGGGCCTCAGGCTCAGAGTCTTCAAAGCCACCACCCAAATCTAGGAGATGAGTTATGATTTCCGGAGCTCTGGCGTCGACCTCCCATTTGGCCCCCACAGGTGGCTGATGGGGTGGTTATGTTACTTACCTCTGTCCTGATCAGGGATCAGGACACCAAGGCTGGCAGGCGGTTGGGGAGACAGGGAGAGGTGAGTGATGTTAAACCAGGTACTTAGATTCCCGTGGCTGGGCTGGACCTAGTTCTCCAGATTCCAAATCCCGTGCTCTTTCCCGTTTCCTGTAAGGGTTCACTAAATTGTTCATAAACTGACGAAAGAGGAGAAAGGGAATCAGGCTGGGGCCCGTGTAACAAAGCCCTTCCTGTGTCTGAGAAACGTACACTTCTGCTCAGCCTTTCCCCCCTCCAAAAGAGGCCATGCAGAGCCCAAGCTCTAGAGAAGGTTCACCTTTTGAGGAGCTGAGATCCTCCTGGGTCCTTGTAACCTCCCCTCCCCTCCAGCAATGCAGTCCATCCTGGAGTTCAGCTGATTTTGCCACCCAAGTCTCTCTCCAGCCTGCCCTTGATCTCTGTTGATCTGAGAGTCCTTGTTAACATTAACAAGGTAACACTCCACACTCCAGCATGCCCTGGGCCCTCCAGGCTGTTGTCCATGCTGTGATCTTTTCAGAACACATCTGATCAAGTTACTGCCTCTTGCTTTAAGGTATGGAGACAAAGTCCTTCCATGGTCTCTGAGTCCCTCCAAACCCTTCTCATGCCAGTCATGCCCTGTTCCCTCCACGCCCACCTCACTGGTCTCTTTTCAGTTCTCCCTATACCCCAGGCTCCTTTCCTCCTAGGACTCTGCATTCGTTCCCTCTACTGGAATTCTCATTTCATCTTCAGACATCAGCTCATGTGTCATTTCTTAGGAACATCTTCCTGACCTGGTGGTACCCCTTCCAAGGCACATCATAATTTTCCTTTATATGTGTGAATAATTGTCCTTTATTCACTTACTCTGTACGCTTCATGAAGGCAGGGACTGCAGTTGTTTTTTCTCATGTCCTGGTACACAGCAGGTGCTCAGTGCCTGCTATGTGATAGGGGAGGGAGTAAATGGATTGCCGCTTTCCCTAAAGCTCCCCTGCCCCCTACTTCCCACTCAGGGTTTTGGCCTGTGTTTGACCAATCCATAGACTTGGCAAGAGCTTCAGGTGTCCTGAGTGCCACCACCAGCCCACATGTGACTACCTGTGTTGGAGAGGGTCTGCTTCTGGCACCCTGGCTGCTGAATGGTAGAGGATGTGCCAGCCCTGGTGCCAAAACTGACTTGCCCTGGGGACTCTGGGCTTCATGTTGTCGCTTGTCCATCTTCTGGCAGGTGCTTTACATCTTGGTCAGGGAGCACATTCACCCCCGCCCCACCACTGTGCTTCCCACAGTTCAGCAGGAGCCACAGATTTGCCTGTCCACAGGACCCAGCTCATGCCTCTCCACATGACCCAGCTCATGCCTCTCCATAGCTCAGGCCTGGCCACAGGACCCACTTCATGCTTCTGCATCTCAGCCTCCTCCATCCATTACCATCTAGCAGTCAGTTTCTGCTATGTTTTTCTTAATTAAAATCCTGTGCCTTTCAGCATAATGTTATCATGAGGAGCCTGGTGATCTGAGAGTCCTTGTTCTGCCGGTAACCAGCTGAGCACTTTTTTTTAATCATGCACTCTGTCCTCAGAACCATGTTCTTCCTGTGTGTGGATTTCCTGTTAAAGTTTTTCTTTCCTGATTCCATGGTGAAGGAGACCATATGCCCTCCCAAATGCTTGGAATCCTGTGCCAGGCTGTGATTTACATTCTGCCATGTCACAGGAGTTGTTTTTATAGGTCCCCACGGACCAGACTGGTCACTGGCTTAAGTTCTTATCAATATTGATTGATAGGGGACCTGCTGTGGACAGCACCGGAGGGATAGGTCCATAGATAAGCTACAGCTGCACTTCTCAAGTTATTTCAGCAAAGCTCCTGAGACAAACCATGTGAGGGTGCCTAGCATGATGCCTGGCACTTTGTTGATATTCCTGGAGTGCGTGTTGAATGAAAGAATGAAGGAAATAATTAGAAGGCAGCATTTCCCAATGAGGGTCCCTTGAGATGCTCAGGGAAAAACAAATCAACAGCAGCAATAACAGAAGGATGGGGAAATGGTTACATGGCCAAATAACTTTGGGAACCTGTGTGCTGTTTGATCCTCTCTGAGATTCATACTTCTGAAACATATGTGACTCAGAACTGTTTCAGTCACATTAACTGTAGCTACTTGGCTAATGCTTCCAGAATACAGAGTAGAAAGTGGAAAGGCTCACAGGAGGTTCAAAGGGATGAACTGAGGACCAGAGAGAGGGGACTTGGAGATACTTGATTAAAGATTGTAGCATTTCACCCCAGTCTGGAAGGATGAGCAGGATCCCCGTGGATGGAGAGAGAAGAGCTTTGGGATGGGGGACAGGGATGAGCAGAGACACATGGACAGGAATGCCCAAGACACTGTTGGGAGCTAGACGTCTGGTTTTAGAAAAGGTCATGCTGGAAGGCAGACTAGGGGCTGCTCCCACACCAGCAGTTCCTGGTATCTGAAGCTGCTCGTGGAGGCTTTTGTGAAATTATGAATGAGTTATTGAAAGCCTTAGCATTGCCCTTCTGAAGCATCTGGACTTTATCTGAGGAGCCCTTGTTTCCCAGCCAGGAGTTTGAGTCAGCATCAGCTGTGGAGTTTCTTGAACCACCCTGTGTGTGGGCCACAGCCCAGGAATTCTGATTCTGTGGGTAGAGAAGGGGTCCAAGCATCTGGATGTTTTCGAAGCCCCCTAGATGATTCTGTGTGAACTCCCAATTGCCAATGAATGCCAGAAGCAGTGGGGGGTTCTTTGAGTGGCCTCCTCTGGGGGCCAACAGATCAGAGCTGGTCCTCCTGCATTTGTACAGGCAGGGGACATGTAATGGCAGGGGACTCACTCACCAAATAAGCTTGGGACACCGTAGACACTGTGATCCTTGTGGAGATTCATAAGTGATATCTTAGCGCATGAAGGCTCTGAGAAGGGCTGCTGTAAACTCAACACTTGAGGAAATACCATCAGGAACTCTAGGCTTAAAGATGGGTATTTATGTCCATCGGGTATTTCACCCCCACTGTTTCTTTTATGAATGTCAGTATTTCTCTTTCCAGGCTTTCCAGGGTGAATGCCTCCATTGTTGGAGTTTTCATGAATGCCAAATGCAGTCAGCCTTGCTGCCATGGAGGTGGCCACCACTCTCCCAAAGAAGGTTCTTAGGGGCTGGCCTGGAGTAGTGAAAGCAGTTGTTTGCTTACAAAAGCCTATTCCCTTAGTCTTTTTCTCTCTGCTACCTCTGACCTGGAAAGACACCATGTTGGGTCTGAATAAGACGTTGCTGCCTCCCAGGCTCCTTTCTTCATCTCTGTGATCCCGAGCGGAGCCTGCGTTTTTCTGACTTCACACTCCAGAGGGACGGAAATGACTGGGGCGACACCAATTTGGAGCTGCAGCTTGCAGGAAGCTAACTGCACCTCTGCAGACACTTGCTTCGTGCTTTAAACTGGCTAATGGGCAGCCACATGACTTTTTCTCTTGGGCCTTCTTGGTGGGGTTATGAAGCGTTGGTGACCTTAAAGGAATCAATAGAATTGATGGGGGAGTTATCCCCGCCAGCCCGCACCCAGCTAACATTGGGATTTCATTCTAAATGCTCGTTTCTGGTGCTGATCATTTATTTGTTCACTCAAGCCACAAGGTGCAAAGGAAGCACTACCCTCTGCCTCTTATCTCCAGAGGATGGTCAAAAGGAAACCCAGTAGCTGCTTCTCTCAAACTTGCAAAGAGAAGGTGCTAGGAAGCGCTCCCATGGGCTCCTCAATAGCCCAGGGCAGAGGTTAGGAGGCAAGTTCATCCGCAGCAATGAAACCATGGTGGGTCTGAAGCTGGGGCCGGAGGCTGCCCCATCTGGGGCCAGTGTGTGGCAGGCACTTGCTTTTAGAAGACTCCCAGACACTGCAGGCCTCCTCTCCCACCTGGGCTTTCCTCTACCCCTACGCAAGGGAATGGCTTAGACACCTCCAGAATCGACAGTGTAAATGAAGAAGAGACTGACATTCTGGATTATTGCCCCCATAGGCCAGGAGTTTGAGTCAACATCACCTGTGGAGTTTCTTGAACCGCCCTGTTTGTGGGCCACAGCCCGGGAATTTTGATTCTGTGAGTAGAGAAGGGGTCCAAGCATCTGTAGGTTTTCAAAGCCTCCTAGATGATTCTTTGTGAACTCCCAATTGCACATGAATGCCAGAAGCAATGGGGGCGTTCTTTGATCTCCCCTGGGGGCCAACAGGTCAGAGCTGGTCCTCCTGCATTTGTACAGGCAGGGGGCATGTAATGGCAGGGAACTGACTTAACAAATAAGCTCCCCCTGACTGTATAAGCAAGGGTCTGAATATGTTTCCACCCAGACAGTGAACCTGTGGCATGTCACTGATGGTTGGTTCATAAGTTTTTTTCTGTTGCCTCAGTTAGTGTTTCTTACGAGGCTATAACAGTTACCCTTCAAAGCTTTGCAATTCATTCATTCATTTTAAAATTTATTTATTAGATTCTTTAATACCCCTTGAGTTTGTTAAGTGTCTGCTCTTACGGGGCGTGGTGCTCACATCTAATGACAGAACTGCTCCATCCTTGGTCCCACGTGGCTTCTGGCTTGGGAGATGAGAAGGACTCAGGCAAGGGCATCCAGCCTGCACGGGGCACATTAGCAACCAACTCGGTGGTTGCTAAACCTTGATGCTATTCCGTGACACCGTTTCTCCTAGGGGTCACCCCACCTTGGATTCACACCCATGCTTCCGTCACAGTATTTTTCTACATTTTTATTATTTCTTCCTCTTTCCCTTTTTTTAAGTTATGATTTGAAGACTGTCATTTATCTCATCTAAGACCTCCCTGCTCTCTGTTCTCTTCTGTCTGTGGGTCTCATGTGTTGGGAAGCTCCTCATGGCAACTCAACATTCAGAAAAACAACTTTTATAGATTCAAGTCCCCACAAAATACCTGAATGTTAAGCACGTGGACTTTGGAGCTCAGGCTGACCTTAGTTCAAATCCACCCTCCCTCACCTCCCAGCTCTGCATTCTTGGGCAAGGTGGAATTTATAGCCTCTCAATGAAGCGTTGGTTTTCTCATGTCTGGAATGATAATGTTAAGACGATAACCCAAAAAGCATTGGCTACCATTGTAATTACTGAGCAGTTGCATGCATTAGCTTCATCTCCCCTTCTTGGGAGCCGTGACAGTGGTGTGTTGACAGCAATGTTATCAAAGGAAAAGAAAGTCAAGGCCAACTTCAGTAGAGAAGATTGAAAGCAGAAATACACCGAGAGTCCAGCAGGTACACTGAGCCCCATGATAACCACTGCCTTGGGCAACTTCAATTCCGGGGAACTGGACATGGAAACCAAGGCCATGGACAAGTACATTGCTTCCTGACCTGGCCTGCTGCCTGGCCCTCTGGAGGTAGGAGCTCTTCTTGACCACAGAGATGGCCCAGGAACTCAGCCCAGCCCACTTTCTCCATGGCTATGGCTGCCCCACTTCACCTTCTTTCCCTTCTCTGCTAGCTCACCAAGCAGCGCACACAGATACATCTGCAGCAAGTCGTGTATCCCCATGGCTCTGAGGAACACTACACATGACAAGGAGCCTGAGGGTTTCCTCCATGACTTGACCGTGGATCACTTCTTTTATATTAATTATTATTATTCTTACTGAGCTCACACCTGTGTGCCAGAGACACTGGGCCACATGCTTTACACACTTGGGTCTCATTTCATCTTTATAGCAGTCTGTGGGGTGGAGTTCTGTGCTCCAGTCACTTCCACATCTACTAAAGCCTTGAAGCCAGAATTCAATCCTGATTACCTGACTCCTTAGACCAGGTTCTTAGCCATTATTTTATACAACCTCATTCAGCAAAACCTTTTCTACAGTACAAGCCTCCTCTTTCAGCTCTACAATTCTTTCTTCCTTTTATTAATATTTCTCCCTCCCTCTCTTCCCTAGTTCTCTTCCCTCAAAAAAAAAAAAAAAAAAAAAAATGGACTAAGTCCCAGATCCATGCCAGATCTGGTCATTTTCCCCAACCTAGGCAGAAATTTTTTATTATTATTATTGCTATTACTATCATTATTTCTTAGAATTAAGCTGCACCTTTGACTACCAGGAGTGGCCTGCATGCTTAATCTTCAAACCAAGAGCAGCTCAGAAGCCAGACCAGAGTAGCATACTGGTGACAAGCACATGCCATGGCAGCAGGTACCAGGGTTTCAGTTTCTGCTGTGCTGCTCTAACCATGGGACCTCTCTCTGCCTCAGCTTTTTCATCTGTAAATGGGGGATTTAATAGTCCCAAGATCACAGGTTTGCTGTGAGCATTGTGGGAGCAGATAGGTAAGCATTTAGAACGGCATTTTTGCACAAAGGAAATGCTCTGTCAACGTTAGTTTTCATGACTCCTCCAAAATCTGCCTTTCTCCGTCCTGAAGGACCCATAAGTTTCCAAGAACTCTTAATCCTACAGGAATCTCTTAAAGACTAGCAGTAGAAAACCTGTTTTCCCTAGAGACCGCTCTCCTGCCGCTCTTTCCACCTTTGTGTCATCTTGCTGGTGACAGTACCAAGCTCCTAATGAGAGTTGAAAAGGTTTCTCCAGCTGGTGAGGCTGCATAATTCAAGCCAGCCTACCTCCCACCTCCAGCTCCCAAGTTCTGAGGCTAAATCGGTAGGCGGGGGGTACATGGCTAAGAGAGTCTGCAGGTGTTCAATGGCCTGGTGTGGCCTTGGTTCACCAGTTTCTGTTTGCCTGGGCCGCCCCATTAGCTGCTGCCTCCTTAAAAAGTCAGAATTTTATAGGCTTAACAATCTGTTTGAATGCAAAAGCTTGAAACACAGGGTTGGCCCTAGGAGCAAACTAATTAATAGCCCTTCTCAAACTAGGGTTTTGGAAGGTAGGCTGAACCTTTGAAAAGCAATCATCTTTTGAGGGTGCTGCAAGTCATTGCAATAAAACTGGGGATGGGAGGAAGAACTTGGAAGGAAATAGCGAACCCAAGAGGAAACTGTCATTTCTGGAGGCAAGTTGCCTTGGTAGAGGGAAAAAAAAAGAATGTTCTTCATGCAAATAAGGCCCACTAAGGCTTCCTCAAGTCAAATGATTCAGTCAAATCATTCTCAAACCTAATGATTTTTCACATCTAATTCAAGGAGAAATTAGTTATTAGATATTAAGACAAAAGCAGGCAGACTTCTATCTTGACAAGGAATCCTTCCCGCTGAAGTGGAATTATCTCCAGAATAATTAAATTGCTTGCTGAAGTATAAAAGCATTCCATTAACCGGAGTTGCCTTTGTTGAACAGTGCCTTCCTCATCCCCAAACAAATCATGATGACTCTGAACAAGGACAGGGAGATACCAGGACCTAAATAGATAATGTGATAAAACTGAAATCATCATCAGTGTCATTTCTGAGCCAAAGAGCAAAGTTGCTAATCAGCAAATGCTGGAGGTATCAGCCTCAGCCCGGCAGCAGTTTTACTTGTGACCAAGCGTGGCTGTGATGCTTTATTCTCCAGGAGTCCTAGACTCTGAAGATTCTGCACCCTAATGAAAAAAATGAAGGCTACAGTGAAAGCACGGCAGAGGATCGTTTTCCTGGAATGTCCCCAGCCTGCCTATTTGACATTGGCAATGTTTCCAGAATTTAGATATCTTTATTCCAAAAGAGCACTGTGATTGAGAAATGGCGTTATTACTTGCCAAAACACATAAACCACCGGGACATTCAAATGTATTCATTACAAGGAGGCGCTGTTATAACCCGACGTGATCCATACTGTTCTTACTACATTGTGAAACTTGTTGTTGTGTGGCATGGCCGACAGGTCTCCTGCCACAGGTACACTACACCATCAGAACGTGCCACACAGTATAGCAAATCAGATTTCACTCATTCATAGTGATTTATGAGGATAGACTTGTAACATCCAAGGGGCTTCTGTACATGAAGATAAATGCTTACCTCATTGTCCTCTGTTTATGCCCAATGAATTCATCTGTATTTGTTGAACAATCCACATATTTAAATATTTCACAGTCAGGATTACTCTAAATATTTGTACCATACTTTAAACATAATGTGGATTTAACACAGGAAAATTTCCCAACATTTACATATAGGTGTTATAAAGGTAAACACTTCTAAATATTTATTTGAAATGATATTTCTAAAAATTCAGATGATGGTAAATGCTTTAAACCTTGTAAAAATAGACAAAACACACACATAAAGACCAGTACACTTAAAATCGAGGAGGGTATAAGTGTATTAATACAATGGACTTGAAGTTGTTTTCTTATTATCTTTATTCTTATTCATAGCCTTTTAAAAGTGTTATTTTTATTTGTGCATTTATTTCATCAGAGAGTTGCCTTTCTAATGTTTCAGGAATTTTACAAGGAACCACCACAGAACAGCCAAGGCCACCAGCTCTGGTTATCATCTGGTTATAACACAGGATTCGGTTGCTCAGGCTTTGCCAATTCCAAGCTTTTGGTCATCTGGCTCAGTCCATTTGCATAACTAAGTTCTTTTTGTTATGTCAAAGAACCCTAAGATGCTGATCTTCTGTGTAGATTTTCATTCTTGAAACTTGATACCATTCCTGGAAATGGTAAATTCTAAGTTTTGTATATCTGCCAGTTCTTGACTTATTGAGCTTGTCTGTTAACATTATTAAAAACTTATGCATCCCCTATTATTATTTTATTCTGATGAGTTGGGCCGCTTAGAGGTTTCATCTCCTACGAGATGAGATTGAGCCTGATAATTAGCTCTCTTCTTTAGGACAGCTGGCTAATTCATCACCTTGGAATGCAGTGTGAGACTCCCTGCCCACCTGTTTATTTTGCATGCCACCACGGCACTGATCAGTTTTTCCTAGACGTGGTGTAGTACCTCCTTCCTCTGGGACTCTGTGTTTTATCTGTTCTGTTTGCATAGGTGGAAACAAGTAAACTGCATGTCAGATACTCCACACTTTATGATCGCAGCAGCACAGACTTCCCTAACTTTAGTCTAGTCTCTGGGAAACCACCTCTATAATTTTTGCTTTATTTGCATTCCACCTGAACCATTATGCACTTAAGACTTCTCTTTAAATAACTTTAAATCTACTTACTTTTTGTAGCCTAGCAGTGTCTTAAGCCATAACAGCCATGAAACCACGCATTCGATGTATCAGCTGTATTTCAGCTTTGTTGTAAGGACATATTAAAATCATGGCACAAATATTGAAATGACAGGGTTGTCCTGGTGCCCCAGAGCTCTCTTGTACACTGCCAGGATACGTCATACCATAATTTAGGAGACTTGGCTGAAGACCACATGCCAATGATTCTGATTGCTGGGAATATCCAAATAATGTGCTTGTTTTCAAAGGATTTTTAAAAAATGAATCTCCTATTTTAAAAGCACCAATTTAAGGGAAAGTCTTAGTGGCATATAAAACCACATGCTTTAAGAAAAATAGAGTAAAATAAAGAAAGAATGAAGTACAAGACCTCAACAATTCCTGCTTTCCGGCTCTGTCATTATTTAAAGTGGTGCATGAACCTCAGAGCACTTTTGCCCATCACCAGCTTTCATAGAAGCCCTGAGCACCAGGACTGAGTGGGAGGCTTCTTCTAGGGTAGACTGGGTGATGAGAAGAGACCCGCTAAGGAGAAGGAAACACATTCAGCAAAGATCTACAGGCAGAGCATTCTTGTATAGGGAAGACCCCCAAGGACAAAGACCTGGGTGGGGTGGACCTGGGTGCAGGCGAGAAACAGCCAGAGCCACTGGGGCTGGACTGGAGGGTGGGAAGAGGAGGGGCTAGGGGGTGTGATCAGATCACTGAGGGGCAGACCTCGGGCCATGGCACAGCCTATGGATTTTGACCATTGCAGGGTTTTGAGCAGGAAACTGATTTGAGCTGATCTCGCTGACTGCTACTCAGGGAATTATTATATTGGATCAAGAGTGAAAACCAAGACCCCAGTTGGGTGGCTCTGGTGGTCTCCAAGTGAGAGCTGATGGAAATTTTGCCAGAGAGGTAGCCATGAAGATGGCAAGAAGGGGTTTTATTAGGCATGTACACATTTTGGAGAGCACAAGAATTTCATATCTTTCTTGAAACTGTTAAGTATATTTTCTTACACATATATATATATAGATCCATCAATAGGTATATTGACATATACTTAAATATATTGATATTTATACTTTATTTTATATAAACACACACACACACACACATTTTTTTTTCTTTTGAGAAACAAACCCCAAACCCTCTGTTAGTAGAGGATGAAAATATCTTCTGACATTGCTTTAAAAAAATTTTACTGTGTCTAGTGAACTGTAAGAAAAGTCCTGGTATAGTCTCTCCTGTTTTAGTAGAAGATAGTAATTGGCAACATGTCAGTGTACGCTTTGAAGCCAGAGATTTCACAATCATGGATGACTTATGGGGTGTAGATTTTGGCCTTAGCAACTGGGTACCTCTGGATGCTGTTTGCTGAAATGGACAAGAGCGGGCCAAGAAGGGGCCTTAGGAGCAGGGAGCTATAAGATGGGAGCACAGGGTGTGACCTTGACCCTGACCATCTGCCTTCTGTCTCCCTGCAGTGATCCCGAAGGTCACCAAGCACCTGCTCTCAAACCCTGTGTTCACCTGCATCATCCTGGCCGCCTGCATGGAGATTGCAGTGGTGGCTGGCTTCGCTGCCTTTTTGGGGAAGTACCTGGAGCAGCAGTTTAACCTCACCACCTCTTCTGCCAACCAGCTGCTTGGTGAGTGTGTCCTCAGGCCTCCTGAGAGGGTCGGGGGAGGGTGTCCTGTGTGTAAGGCACTAAAAATTTACTGAGCCCTGCTGAAGAACCCCACTCTGCTCTGGGCCTACAGCAACAAGATATATGTGGCCTCTGTGCACAAGGAATTTAAAGTATATTCTCAGAGTAAGATTTGCCTGCCTGGATCAGTTGCTAAAAGCACATGATAATAAAGAGTGAAAATATAAAATGTACATTTGAGAGGCCAGTAAGTCGATAGATGGGTGTGAAATGGGAAATTTGAGGAAGCTATGATGAAGAAGGATAAATCTTGAAAGGTTAGCAGGTTTTAATCAGCCACATAAAGTTAAGAATATTCTTGGCAGCATGAGACCCATAGTTAACTGCAGAGCTTGGAAGCCATACACTCCCTACTCCTCCCTGTGCCCACAACAGACATAACTAATGGATCATGACACTCCTTCTCCCCAAGGTCAGGCATGGCTTTACAGTTCTTTAAATCATAGACTACAGGTTTCTACTCCCAATTGTTCAGAGTTGACATACTAAAGAAAACCAGTTTGCACTCATGAGAAGCAGTGTTGCTCAGGCAGGGTAAGGAATGTGGTCCTGCAGCATGTCTTAGTTTGCTTTTTGTTTTGTGACAATATATCATCCTTTACTTCAAATGACAGGAAGCTGCATTTGTTGAGTTAATCAGCTGAGATGTTGATAAGTAGTGGACACAACAGCAACAGACATAGCAGTCAAACAAGAGGGAAGAATCAACAATGGCTCTCAGGTTTCTGGCTTGGAGAGCTTGTGGTACCATTTGTAAAGACTGGAAATAACAAAGAAGAATCAGATCCATGCAAAGTTTCTGGATCAGACCTGAAGCTGTTGAGTGTGAGATGCCCATAGCATATCTAAGTGATGTCCAGTATTCAGCCGAGGGGTCAAGAAGGGTCTCTGGGATGATAATCGATATTATATGTAGTAGTGGAGGTTCAGTTGCCTCAGTAAATGGATGGTAGTTGAGGACATCGGAGTGGAATTTACGTAGGAAAAAATGTGTAGAGTTAAAAAAAGATAGGTGAAACCCCAACCTGAAGAAATAGAGGAGTCTGCAGAGAAATTTAAGCAACAGCACCCAAAAGAAATGCAGAGAATGTGGATCATGGAAGTCAAGGGTGAGATGATTCCAAGAAGAAAGCAGCCATCTGCAATGTGAGCAGTCAAGCAAGGTGAGGGCCCAAATGTCTCTGTTGGCTTTAATGATGAGGACAGCTTGCAGCCTGTGTGAGGGCTGTGTCCCTGAAGTGGCAGCGGTGGCACCCGTTCTGTGGTGTGGAGGGAAGCCCACGAGAGGGAAGGAGTAGACAGTGAGCACGGGACTTAGCCAGGGGAGAAAGGAGAGAGGACATGGCCTGTGGCATGTGTTGGAGTCGAGGGAGGGAGTGGTGACTATGTGGTTGCTGGGACAGGAAAGACTTGAGCAGGTTTCTCAGTGGAGGGAAAGGAGCCCACAGCTGGGGATTTGCAGCAGAGAGAGGGAATGTGGTGGACAGCCCTTGACAGAGGAGTTCACCTGTTCTCCTGAAAGAGCAGAGGGAGGGACACGTGATGGAAGCTACTGAGAATGTGGTGATACAGCCAGGCATGGGGGCAGCTACAGCTCCACAGACTTCGTCTTCTCTGTAAAGTAGGAGTCAGATTGTCTGCTGAGAGGAAAGGGAAGGTGATGCTTTCTGATCTTCCCTTTTAAAATCTCCTGTCATGTCACAAGATGGCCAAGAAACAAACACAAAGGTGCTAACCATCATGAGTCATCAGAGAAATGTACATTGGAACCACAATGAGGTGCTGCTAAACATCCACCAGACTGATAGAACCAAGTGTTGGGGAGGATGTGGAGCCACTGGAACTCGCATACTTGGCCAGTGGGAATGCAAATGGGTGCTGCCACTTTGGAAAACTCTTTGGCTGTGCCTATTAAAGCTAACCATATGTCTGTGCTGTGACCTATCAGTTCCATTTCTGGTCATCTGTCCAACAGAAATAAGTGTTTATGTTCACTCATTTACATAGCATACGTAATAATGTCCAGAGCTGTTTTATGCATAATGGACCCAAACTTGAAACAACCCAAATGTCCGTCAATGTAAAATGGATAAATTATAGAATGTTCTATGGTAAACTATTGCACAGAATGAGAAGGAAAGAACTTTGATACATGCCTCAATGTGGTTGAATCTCACAGAGTTGAAAGACATGAGACTCAAAAGAGCACATATTTAGATGAATTAAAAAGAGGAATAGTTAATTGAGGTGACAGAGGCCAGAATAGTGGTTACCTTTGGGGGAAGCTAACTGGGAGGCACACCAGGGAGCCTCCTGAGCTGCTAGAAATGTTCTAAGGTTAATCTGAGCTGTAGTTACAGGGGTGTGTACAGATGCAAAAGTTCATCAGGCTGTTCCCTTAAGCTCTGTGTACTTCACAGGACATAACATATCTCAGTTTAAAAGAAAAAGTAGGCCAGGCGTGGTGGCTCACACCTGTAATCCCAACACTTTGGGAGGCTGAGGTGGGTGGATCACCTGAGGTCAAGAGTTCAAGACCAGCCTGGCCAACATGGTAAAACCCCATCTCTACTAAAAATACAAAAATTAGGCGTGTCATCCCAGCTACTTGGGAGGCTGAGGCAGTAGAATCGCTTGAACCTGGGAGGTGGAGGTTGCAGTGAGCCGAGATCGCGCCATTGCACTCCAGCCTGGGGGACAAGAGTGAGACTTTGTCTCGAAAAATAAAATAAATAAATAAATAAAATAAAATGTAAAACCCTATCACAATGATATGGCCAGATTACCACCCCTCTCCCTGGGAACTGCCAGGGTACCACAAGTCTTATGTTTTTCTTTTACACAAAGAACTCTCTACCACCCACCACTTGGTCAATTTTACCTCCAAGAGGTATTGGCAAAATGCAGTCAGCCCTTTAATATCTGCCCGACAGAGATAGGGTAAAATACACCTCTTTATAATTAAAGTTGTAACTTCTTTGTTATCCCCAGGATCTCAGGTTTAGCCCTTCAGCACCTGAAGAGTTTATCTCTCACCTGCTGACTCCTCTGCTGCTTTTTCTTCCATTTTGATTCCATTTGCACAGTTGCTTCAACTTTGGGCAGTGCTCTGTTTCAGAACAGATGCCTACATCTTCTATCGACAAACAAATCAATAGTCTTCAGGGCAGAAGGTCAAAAAAACAATTCTGCCTTATTGCGCCTTTCTGTCTCCCAGTGATTTCTGTCTGCTGGTGTGCTTGGCAGGAGGCACCTTCTCCTGAGCTGGGCAGTCCAGGCAAGCAGCACAGGTGCCCTCTGTGTGTGCCCTGCCCTTGGTGACAGTCTAGTCAGTGTGGACGCTGGAGGCTGGCTGCAGGAGGGGCTGGCAGTGGGCGGTTAGAGAAGGCAGACTTGGGAGATGAGGCCCAGGCAGTCATCCCAGAGCATCAGCACTGGCCCCCCTTCCACCCCTTGCAAAGTCATCAGCAAATGGGGCAGAGCTCAGAGAAGAGCAACACAGGTGATTAAAGAGCTGGTGGTGCTGATTTGTGAGTGAAGATAAAAAGGACTCAATCTGCATAGGTTAACGTAATGAGAATGGAATTTCAGGGAAGTTCTGATCACCGCCTGGAGTGTTAAGGACAGCACATACATCAGGGAGGGAGGGGGCCTGACAATGGCTTGGAGAAAAGGTGTGAAAGCCTGTGATTGCCATGGTTACCATCCTTGACAGGTGACACCCCCACTGTCTCTGCTAGGAAATGAAACAAAACACAGGCCTGCTTTCTGGGTGTGGGCATGTTGTCACTGATGTCCATTCACACACATCCAATCTGTTCCTTAGCTCATTCATTCTGAAAATAATACTTGGATGCCCACTCCGTGCTGGGTACCATGCTAGACACAGAGAATCTAGGCGGGACTGAACAAGACAAAAAGGGTTTTTGTCCACAGGAAAGCTGTATCCTAGCAGAGAGAGAGAGAGAGAGCAAGAAACAAGAAACCCAAAAATAAATGAGGCTGCTTCAAAGAGCTGAGAGAGCCATGAAAACAGTATGGAATCTCAGGGTGGGGATGCATGGATCTCTACATAGGGTGGCCTGGGAAACCTGTCTGAAGAGAGTAGGGGCCAGCCAAGTAAACACATCGGGCAAGTGTCCCAGGAGAGGGAACTGCACGTGCAAAGCCTGGGGAAGCAGAACTGTTTGGCCTGTCCTAGGGAGAGAAAGGAGGGACAGTGGCATGGTTGGGATGGGCAGTGCGGTGCAGGATGAGGATAAAGAGGCACCCAGGAGCTGGCTCATGACATCACTCCTATACCAAGGGAAGAAAACCAAGCACAGATACTCCAAGAGCAGCAGATGATAAAGAGATATTATATGTCATTTTAAGTATGACTTGTGCTGTTTTCTTGCAGAGCTATACCCCCTTATTATATTTTCTCACCCCAATATTAAAATTAATTTGCATTCCCTTAGCACATACCAGCTGGTTAATGTAGTCAGTTGACCTAGAGGTCTGTTGATTGGCAAGAAGGCAGCCTAGACTGGAAAATTGGCCATGCATCATCTACATGGTAGATAAATGACACGTAGCAATTGAAAGCTGAGTTTTAGATGAGATGAATCAGAATGGAGCAAAACCAACGCAGGAGCTTGGAACCCTGGGATCCTTTGGTCCTCCTAAAATGCCATGGTCTCTGCGAATCAGAAATAACAGGTTTATGGTCCTGCTCACTTGTAGATAGCCCTGGGTAGAAGAGAGAGAAAGGAAAAAATATATATGCCATTTATTCACCAAGAGCTACAAAACATATTGATTGATGCCACTTCCTGAGGGGTGGCGGAGCTGGTTCAAACACTCTCTCTATGGCCTGGTGAATTCCGTGACCTTTAGGTTAAACAGCCTCCGTACTTTCCGTGAAACCCTCCCTTCTTGCCTCATTAGAAGACGAGGAGAAAAATCCCTAAATGATCTCAAGTCCGCTTCCCACATCTCATCTCAAAAATGCTCACAGAGCACATCACTGCTCCGTGATATGTACCCTCCCGAAGGCATGTCTGTGTTCCCAGTCTCTCTGACTCCATCTCTTGGTAGTCCCCTCTTCAGCTTGCGTTTCTCCTGAGGGTGCCCCACTTAGCAGGACAGGTGCGTGCACTTAGATTCATGAAGCAGAGTTGCTTTATGTCTGTCTCCCCCAGTTCTCCATGAGCTCCCTGGGGGCATAAATCAGGCCCTTCCTGAAGACTCCAGGGTCCCATGGAGGCAGTGACACCACAGTGGGGTCATAGGGCATTCACGGGACTCAGCCTCAGGCCTGCTGCCCGCCTGTCTGTAGACTGGCCCCACCTTCCCTGTTCACAGCCCTGCCCCTCTATTTTCCTTCCAGGGATGACTGCGATCCCGTGTGCTTGTCTGGGTATCTTCCTGGGAGGTCTTTTGGTGAAGAAGCTCAGCCTGTCTGCCCTGGGGGCCATTCGGATGGCCATGCTCGTCAACCTGGTGTCCACTGCTTGCTACGTCTCCTTCCTCTTCCTGGGCTGCGACACTGGCCCTGTGGCTGGGGTTACTGTTCCCTATGGAAACAGGTGAGTACTGGCAGTGTCTGCCGCCTTCCTGCCTGTTCAGGGACCCTAGCAATCTCCCTCTGCAGTAGGTTGAGGGAACCAGCTTTGTTCCTAGTGACCTGAGGAGACGCATCACGGCTGCCTCTGCATCTTACTGTCCACGTTGGAGAATCAGTAGAACCCTCTGGGCTGAGAAAGCAGACCTTTCCACTCAAAGGCTGGGAAGCACTGGGGGAGAAGAGAAGCCGTTTCCTCCCTGGCAGACTCACATCGCGATTTTTGGCATTTGACTTTAGGAAAAATGTGAAGAGAGAAAATAAAAATTTTAATTCAAAATTCAGCTCAAAATAAAAGACAGAATTGATTTGATTTCAACAATTCCTTAAACTATCAGAAGCTGTCATTAGGCTCACATGGCAATTACAGGATCTGGCCCATGGCAGGTGTTCTTAAGTGTAGCGAGGGAAAGGGGGAGAAAAAGGGAGGGAGGAAGAGAAGGAAGTTAGTTCTCATAGGACCACTTTTCTTTCTTCCTAGTTTTTATCCCAAGACTTGGGACTAGAGTCCAGTGAGAATTGCCCTTAGAGGGAATTATGGGGAGTCTTCAGCTATCCAGTATCAATAGCTGTCCCCTTTTCCACATGGGACTGAGGCTGCCTTGGAAATCCAGCCTGGAGCATCGAGGCTGAAGCATGGCTGGCCTGCAGGTTACCAGTTTCTCTCTCTAGAGCCAGACTCTTCCTCCAAGCAGACCACGAGGCCTGCTCCTGCGCTTGTGCCGGAAGATGCAGTGGAGCCAGGGCTTCTCTGCCACCCACAAGGGTGAGCAGGCAGAGTGGGAGAGCAGAACAGAGGCAGCTTTCTGTATGTCTGTGTACAATCCAGGCACCATGTGCCCCTCCTTCCCCTTTACACCATCACGGGGTTGCCCCTTCCAATCCCCGCCCCAGCCTGGCCCCGACTTCGTGTTCAGATATGTCTTCTTCCCGTTTGCACCTGCTATGCATAACAGCTGTCTCAAGTAGCAGACTGCTCAACTCCCAAGGAGTAAAGGGTAGTGGTTAGGAGCACAAGGTCTTACTATAATGACGTTATTCTTCCATGAAAAAGAAAAGAAAAGTGTATATCCTACATCACACAGCCCTAGTTCCAGCGCCTCCTCTACCATTTATGACTTCTGTACTTTTGGACAAGTCACTTAACCTGGCTGTGCCTCGGTTTCTTCTCTAAAGCCCATGGGGTTATAATGAGAATAAATGAAATAATCCATGCAGTACTTTGAATAGTGCATGACGCATAAATTGCCGGGTGTCGCCATCGTCACCTTTATTATTATGAAGTGCTCTGAGCCTTAGGAGACATAGCTGAAAATGATCAGAGTAAAGAAGAGACATTTCCTCTCTTATAGAGCTAATACACTCACTCTACCCTTTTGTTCTTTTTTCAGTTTGCTTGCTCTAGATAACTTTGCCTTTAATGATGCAAAGGAAAATTAAAACACCTTAGTGTTATTTTTCTCAGGACATTGAATCAATTAGACAATAATTATTGAAGTCAGTCTGGTTGAAGCAGTGTAGTAAGTAAGCATCATGAGGCTTCCTGACTGTAGGGGAGGAATAAAGCAAAGAGACAAGAACCAGCCCAAAGAGGGAAGAAGTTAAATCCTCAGTGGTGCAGGCATAGCAGTGTTCAGGACAGGGGGATAAGCTGAGGCCTTAGCAATCAGGAGAGGCATCGTGGAGGGGGTGGCCCTGAGCAGTCCCAACTGCCACCAGCCCAGAGGGCACATCAATACCAGTGATAAAAAGCATCTTCCTCCTCGCTTCATGAGAGGGGCTGGAGTGGACTCAGCTCCCACCCAGCCCACCACCCAAGCTGGCATCATTGGCCAGGGCACAACCCACGTAGCTCTCAGCAGTGGCCCTGGGCTGCTCCTTGCTGGACAGGATAGGCTAAGGTTGGTAAAGGAAAAGGGAAGGGAGAACCAGGTAACAATCCCATAAGCAGGGTACCACGCGACTCATCACAACAGAGGCAAAAGGCTGTCACTGGGGGCATCTGATTCCGAATTGACCTGTTTCTAATGGCTTCCGTGTTTCCTTTCTTTTCCAGCACAGCACCTGGCTCAGCCCTGGACCCCTACTCGCCCTGCAATAATAACTGTGAATGCCAAACCGATTCCTTCACTCCAGTGTGTGGGGCAGATGGCATCACCTACCTGTCTGCCTGCTTTGCTGGCTGCAACAGCACGGTAATGGGATGGGGCAGGGGATGGGGCAGGGGATTCAGGCAGCTAAAGTGGCTTAAAACCCAAGTTTTTGCCCAGGTTGTTCGCCTTCCCTGTGACTTTTTCTTAGCTGTTGCCTTGCTGTAGTGGAAGATGTTCCATCAGCAGGATGAGAGGACTGATTCAGGTCTTCTTGCTAAATCAAGTGGGTTTGTAGGAAGTCTCATTGTGCAACTGAAAGTAAAAATTCAAAGGAAGCTGTATATATGGAACCAAAGGAAAAGATGGTGGTTCAAGGTACTTGCAGTGTCAATGAAATAGGATGTCTGCATGGGTAGTGAGCTCCCCATCACCAGAAGTATGTCAAGAGAGGCTTAAAAACCATTTATCAGGAAAGACTTCTTCCAGACCTGAAACACTCTGACACCAATTCAGCTTCTTTCCTACCCAGTTTGCTTTGCCATTTTCCTCCTAACTAAATGCCTCCCACCTCTTTCCATGTTCCTGACACATTTTTGGGAGGAGGTGGGTTGCTTTTTCCTGCTTAGCGTGGATTTTACAATTGGCTGTCAGCCCACAGCTTTCCACGCTCTCTCCCTGAAAACCTGATGCTAAGTGACGGGTCATCCATTGGTGCTGATCCCACCTTCCAGGAGTCCTTGGCACCTGCCCTGTGGAGGCCCCGCCCCCATCTCTTGCTTGGACCCGAGCAGTAGGTCCTACCTGGCCTCCCAGGATGGCCCCTTATGTCCTTCGTTTTCTTCAACACTGCAGTCAGAAGGGTTTCTGTAACATAGCAAATGACCCTTTCTCATGCTACTCTGTCAACTAGAAGATCAGTTCTAGGTGCCACGTGTCTTCAGCTCTACCTCCTTTCAGTTTGTGGTGTTCAGCTTCCCCCATACAACCTGTCTTTTCATACACCTCCCTCCAGCTGGACAGGTCCTACTCACCGGTCAGTAGCCTCCTCCAATGTCCCCTCCTCTGAAACCATCCCTTCCCTTTTTATCTTTGGGGTTTTTCTCCCTGAAGTCCTTCGGTGCCTCTTTCTCCTAAAGACATTGTTCTCACTTTATTACGATGATTTGCTAGAAGTGTCTGTCATCTGCTCTGGTCTTTGGATTTCTTAAGCAAGGGCCAGCACCCAGAAGTACTCCATGAATGTCTGTGCAAGGCATAGTGGGAAGGAAAATATGAACCCCCAGTGGCAGCTTTCAAGGGACTTAGAGTTGAGATCATTAGCTGCTGCTTCTTCCTACATCTTATATCTTTCAGGAGCAGCAATTTCTCTGAAAGAAGAAAAATGGATCATTTATTTTCATTTTCAAAGATTTCATTTTTCCTTGTGTTTAGCATTTAGATTCCTGGCCAGTTATTAACATTTTCTTTAGAGAAAATAAATCACCATGGGGGGTGGGTGGGAGAAACTGATTTTTTAAAATTAGATGATAAAGCAATTTCTTTATGTGAGTGGAAATAAATTTTAAAAGAAGGGATGGGCCTTGAGAATGGTTCAAATAAAAACACAAGCCATTATTTTTCATGACAACAATTTCATTAACATTTTAATATCCAGAAAGTTACATTATAAATCAGTCTCGGTTATTGTCCTGTTATAAGAATTAAATTGACTCAGTATAGTCTAGTGTCCTGAGACCAAATGAGTCTCTATTCCAGGGAATGCACTGACCAAAAAAATTATCTTAAAAATTGCATTTCCCCTGATCTTGCATGTACAGGAGTCTTATTGAATAAGAGCCTTACCAGGCCCATCTGTGGCTGCATCCCACTGCTGAAACAGCGAAGCTGGAGAATGCAGTTATCAGACTGTAAGCTTCTCTGCTTACCTCTGGACCTACTGTTTGTCCCCCAGACACCTGCCTTTTATTCAGGTTACTCGAGGCCTCACATTGTCTGCTGGGGTGTAGGTGAGGCAAGGAGGATATTCTCATGCAATTGCAATGCAGAGACAGAGAAACCACCAGGCCCCAGAGCTGGGGTGAGGCATACAGTGCCTTCCCTGCAGAGGCAGATCTCTAGATGCCCTGGCTTCCAACAAGTGGATGAGGGATTTGGAGACCCAGAGCAATGCTTATCCTGGAAAGGGACCCTTGTGACAGTCTAGCCTTAAAAACAACCACAACCATAAAACTTGCAGCAGCAGCAGCAGGCTTTGTCGAGAGCCTATTAAGGTCCAGGTAATGGGGCCTTCCGTGTGTCACTCGTGACCCATGGCAGCTTGGCCCAGAGTCAGAGAAATCTCAGGCCAACATCCAAAAATGAGTGAAAAGCAATTTAAATCCTTTAAATCTCTGCTGCAGTATTTTGGGAAAATGCCAAATGGTGGCTATATTCCTGGTATGTGTACTCCCTCCCTCGCCCCCTTTTTTCTCCACTCTTCTTGTCTCCAAGTTCGGGGCAAAAAAAAAAAAAAAAAAAAAAAACTCTTTGACAAGCTAAAACCTTTCACCTCCTCCTTTTCACAGTGATCCCCTGGAATTCTCCACCTTCCCCAATGTGAGTTCAGCCATTTTCCCTGGTTTCATCAATTCTTCCACCCACGGCCTCAACCCTGTGTATATTATCTCATTGATCCTCCCAGCACCCTTGGGAAATAGGTGTTCTTCTTATTTCCTGAATACAGATGAGGTTAGTCACTTGCCCAAGGCCATGCAATAGGAAGTGGGGGATCTGGCTTTTGAATGTAGGGTCTGTCCAATGTCGAGTACACATGGACACCAAGAAAGGAAAAATAGTGTCTCCCTCTGTACCTCCCCTAAGAGGTCCACCTTTTTTCTACCTCTTCAAACATGCACTTCTCATTCGAGACATTTATTTGGCCTTTACCATCTGGCCCTGGCTGCCTCTCCAGCCTCAACCTCCCTATTCCTCCCACCTCTTTTTTTTTTTTTTTTTTGAGACAGGGTCTCGCTCTGTCACCCAGGCTGGAGTGCAATGGCACAACCTCGGCTCACTGCAACCTCTGCCTCCCGGGTTCAAGTGATTCTCCTGCCTCAGCCTCCCAAGTAGCTGGGATTATAGGCAAACACCACCACACCCAGCTAATTTTTTATATTTTTGGTAGAGACGGGGTTTTTCACCGTGACGGCCAGGCTGGTCTTGAACTCCTGACCTCAAGTGATCCACCCGTCTCGGCCTCCCAAAGTGCTGGGATTACAAGGCCTCTCACCTCTTAAAGAGCCACTTGGTAAGTGGAACTTGCAGTTCCCCAACACATCAAGCTCTCCCTGCCCCTGGGCCTTTGCACGTGTTGTTTCTCTTATCTGCAGCAGTCTCTCCCTTCTAAGCTCTGTCTTATCTCTCAGGGCTGTCTCTCCTTCACCACTGCTGAGAAGCCTTCTCCAGCTCATTGCTTCCTCCAGGGCTGTGTTAGTGCCCTTCCTGCAAACCCCTATTGCCCCTGCTCTTGCCTAGCAAGGCTCTCACCTCACCTGTTCTAATGGCTCATTTACTCTGGCACCTCCCTCATTAAGCTGCAGGGACAGGGGCTCTGTTATGGAACCTTGCATTCTCACTGTCAGCCATGGCTCTGGATAAAGGCTCCAGGCTTTCTCAACACCCAGCTGGAGGCCCTGTACTGACCTCAGAGAGCCCCAGGGATCCAGGGGTAATACCATTCTCTTGTTTAGCAGTTGGCAAGTGGGTAGGTTGGATGGTGCCAGTTTCAGTACTAAAGACCTGATCCTTGCTCGCCACTCACCACTTTATCGTTTCCATCAAGACGTGAAAATTCCCCATAACTCAATTAGATGTAAATAAGTCACTGATCAAATAATTCTGATTATAGGGAAATCTGATTAGTGTTAGTGGTTTCCTGATATTAAACTTTTCTTCCTGCTCTGGATTGGATTTTTTTTTTTTATTTTCTTATATCTCCTTGAGTGATAGCAATGGAAGTTTCCAGGCCTGCATTTAATGTACGACTTCTAATTCTTCTCACTGCATATGACCAGGAAGGGTGACCAAAAAAAAATTGAGTTAATTCTGTAAATTTCCTTTGGCGTGAATATATGGTCCAGATTGTTTCTGTACCTTTCACTTTCAGAAGTAATTATTCCAACAGAAGCATGTTAGTATGCTGTGGACTGATGGCTGTAAGTTGTATCCTTTTGATGTACTAAATAATTGAATAGAAAAAAAAAAAAACTTCCATCAGCCACCAATAGAATGTTGAAAGTCAGTATGAGTCCAGCACTGCAGTTTGTAGGGTACTGATGATAGATGACTAATTCATCCCCCCCATTCCAGGCAACAAATATTTATTGAGCACCTGTTTCAGTGAAATGCCAAGTAGGTTCTGTGGCGGGGAGGAGGACAGCTCCATTATGGGCCCAGGCAGGCAGCTCATGGTTCAGTGTGACGGGTCTCAATACAGGCCGCACCTTAGGATCACGTGGGAGCTTTTAAAACATGAGGCCCCACTCTCAGAGATTCTGATTCCCTTATTTTGGAGTAAGATCCATGCATCAGTATTTTTTTAACCTCCTCAAGTGTTTTTGATTTGTAACCAGGATGGAGAACCGCTGTTCTAATACAGGGCTTCTCAGTCACGGCACTGTTGACATTTTGGGCCAGATAATGGATTGTCATGAGGCGCTGCCCTATGCACTGTGTTTTTACCAGCATCCCTGGGCTCTCCCCACCAGATGCCACCCCTGCCCTCCCCAGCCACAAGTTCCGACAACTGTAAATGTCTCCAGACATTGCCACATGTCCCTCGGGGGATATCATCACCCCCAGTGAAGAACCACCGCTGTCATAGAAGGGATGAGGCATGTTCTATAAATTGTGTCTTTCTTGAAAAAGGTCAGCATCTAAGCTGACACTGAGTATTCATCATTCAGTCTCTTTTTTCTTCTCACCATGACCATATTTGCCCACTATAAAAACCAACTGGAGAGTTAGATATGCCATATAGCAGGGGTCCCCCACATCTAGCACCAGTGCCAGTCTGCGGTACTGGTACTGTTGGGAACTGGGCCGCACAGCAGGAGGCGAGTGGCAGGTGAGCAAAGCTTTATCTGTATTTATAGCCGCTCCCCATCGCTCACATTACTGCCTGAGCTCTGCCTCCTGTCAGATCAGCAGTGGCATTGGATTCTTACAGGAGCATGAACTTACTGTGAACTGCGCACGCGAGGGATCTAGGGTGCGTGTGCCTTAGGGGAATCTAATGCCCGATGATCTGTCATTGTCTCCCATCATCCCTAGATGGGACCGTCTAGTTACAGGAAAACAAGCTCAGGGCTCCCACTGATTCTACTTTATGGTGAATTGTATAATTACATTTCATTATATAATACAATGTAATAATAGAAATAAAGCGCATGATAAATGTGATGTGCTTGAATCATCCTGAAACTATCCCCCAAACCCCACTGGTCAGTGGAATAATTGTCTTCCACGAAACTGGTCCTTGGTACCAAAAAGGTTGGGGACCTCTGCCATAAAGCATGTTGCAGCACAGGAAACAAACAGCGTGTCTGCCCTGAAGATATATTTAATGTGGCCTGAGCCAAAGTTTAACTGGGCCTCCCTGAAAAAGTTGGAAGATAGCTATCATGGGACCTGCACCCCAGTAGGGCAGTGGTTGGCTGGAACTGAGAAGCGCTGGCCTTTTGGGCAGGACATTTGCTGTCTACTTAGACACAGCCCCCACCACTGGCCATCCCTTACACCTGAGCCATTTTTTAAGTGTATGTTTCCTGTCTGGTTCCAAAGGCTTACGGTTTGCAGCCCTCCTCATATAGCCTGGCCCTGTCTGCCAGAGCTGATTTAAAAGTCTGTACTTATCCTGGTAATGGCTTGTCAGAAGGGACTTGTGACTATTCTGAAATCAAACCCTACTGGGGCATCGCCACCTGGGACACCTGATATATCTCAGGCCCTCTGCTAGGCATTGTAAGTGTAGAGATGAATAAGGAAAGGAGCTCATGTTTACTATAAAATGAGATGTCATATTATTAATAGAGGTATGTCCAAGGGAGCACCCAAAGCAACACCTAACCTTACCTTACAATATAGTTAAGTGAAAAGAACACATTGTAAAATAATACATAGACAATAATCCCTTTTGATAAAGAAACATCTAAATATATGCATATCTTTGCATAAAAAATATTGGAAGAACATATAGCCATCCATTCGTAGATGGATACTTCAGGTTAGGGGCCAAAAAACTAAATTTTGCTTATTTGTTTCCAGTTTTTGTGTATATTTCAAAAATATCTAAAATGATTATCACTTTTCCAATGAGGAACAGATTTTTTTAATTTAAAAAATCCAACATTAAAGGTTAGGTGGTTAGGTTAGGTTCTAAAAGAGGGAAGCAGCTGTGTAGACAAATCAGTGAACTTGCAGTATCAGGCCTGCTGGGGTAGAAATTGGTTCTGGGTGGGGCAGGGGTGGAAGGAGGGAGTGGGCATGTTCTCCGCTGGGGGATGGGGTGAATGAGACCCCCATCTCTGAAAAGATGTAAAAAAAATTAGCAGGGCAGGTGGCTCACTTGAGCCCAGGAGTTGGAGGGGGAGACGTGGCAAGGGCCAGGCTTTCATCATGAAGGGTAGTGGGTGTTTGGTAGCCAGGCATGGAAGGACATTCTAGCCGGAAGAGTGCACAGGCTGAGGTGTGACAATTTGGACCTCATGATGCAGGCAGGTTTGGAGTTGGAAGAGAGAAAGCTGGAGGGAGAGATGGAGGGGCCCTGTGTTCCTTCAGAGTTGCAGTCATGCCTTTCACCTTTCCGTGATCTCCCCACTGTGTCCTATGTTAGATAGCTGGAGCAGAGTGAGCCTTTCTGCTCCCCAAATAAAAACCCCCTTCCTCCCCTCAGCAGGAGATAATTAAGATCTAACAGGACGTGCTCAGGCTCACGCGCCACAGGTTACCGGGGTGCAAGGTGGAAGGAGGTCTTGCTTTCATCTCAGAATTTTTCTCCCTGGCCATTATTCTTCAGCCAGTGACCCCACAAGGGAAGAAGAGATCGTATTTCTTCTTGCAGTTTTTCAGTGTCCCCTTTGCCTTGATCTTGCAGGTTGCCATTGGCGCCCTTTGTGATGAGATCTGAGGGTTATGTCTGGAAATACCAGCTTTGGTTGAACCAATGAAGTGAAGAGATGCTAAGCTACAAAAAGACAGTAATAAATGACAGGAGACTGTCTGAGGAACGTCAGTGAATTATGAGAAAATCCATAAGTGTCTGGGACTCAGAGAAGTATGTTGCCATTCAAAGGAAAACACCCCACTTTATTGTGGTGGTGTCCCACGTTCTTTGATATCTCAGCTATTAGAACATCAGGTGCAAAAGATCAAAGATCTCACAGGCAAAAGCAGGAAGAGCATGGCCTGTGGTGGTACTCCCCGGTAAACTCCCTTTATGAACATTTCTAGAAACTGCCAGAGCCAGGCATGGTGGCATGCCTCTGTAATCCCATCTACTCAGGAGCTGAGGAGGGGAGGAGCACTTGAGGCCCCAAACTTGAGACCAGCTTGGGCAACATAGTGAGACCCCTATCTCTGAAAAGATAAAAAATGAGGCAGGCAGGTGGCTTACTTGAGCCCAGGAGTTTGAGACTGCAGTAAGCTATGATCATGCCACTGCACTGCAAACTAAGACCTCATCTCTGAAAAAAGGAAAGAGAAAAGAAATTTTCATGTATCTCTGCTAACTGCTTTCAAGGAGGAAAAGCAAAAACAGTATTCCAGGGGCGATCCTCTACCTTTCAAGTTTCCATAGAAGGCTCGTAATACAAATATCCCCATACAATCCTCTTAGAAAAATAATCTTTCCACCTTGAACTTCGCTTCCTTTGTACAATTAATAGGGATCGATCATCAGGATTGGATGTGGGGGGAAAATAACAGGCAGAAAACAACTTTATTTGCCAGTATTTTTGAAACACTGCTGAGCAGTATCTTGTTCTTGTAATACCGGCTGTCAAAATAGCATGCCGACTGCTTCCTTCATCAATAGAAAACAAATGCAAGATTCCAGAGAGTCATTTTTCTATTTTTGTGGTCTCTAGCCTTCTTGTAATTATTTATTCTCATCATTGTATGTGAATAGAAACATTTCTCAATTGAAATTAATGACTGAAGGTGGAACAGAAATACAGTTTTCAGTGATGTGCTATTCTTTCATTGATTTCTTTATTTTATAACATTTTCCATTTTGAATACATTTATATGATTCAAAAGCCAAAAAGTATAAAAAGGAGGATATGAGGGACTCTCCCTTTCACCTGTGTCCGCTATTTACTTCTTCCTCAACCTGCCAAATAGATGATTGCTGTCCTTGGTTTCTTGTACATCCTTCTGGATTTTTTACTGCACATAAAAGGCCCTATTCTGTACCTCACTATTTTGTTTGGCTTTTTCAGTTAATAGTTTACCTGGGAGTTATTTCTAAATTAGTACATAAGGGATGTTCTTCTACCTTTTTATGGCTATATAGTATTCCATCGCGTGGACCAAGTAGTCTGTCTTTTTTTTTTTTTTTTAATTATACTTTAAGTTTTAGGGTACATGTGCACATTATGCAGGTTAGTTACATATGTATACATGTGCCATGCTGGTGCGCTGCACCCACTAACTCGTCATCTAGCATTAGGTATATCTCCCAATGCTATCCCTCCCCCGTCCCCCCACCCCACAGCAGTCCCCAGAGTGTGATGTTCCCCTTCCTGTGTCCATGTGATCTCATTGTTCAATTCCCACCTATGAGTGAGAATATGCTGTGTTTGGTTTTTTGTTCTTGTGATAGTTTACTGAGAATGATGATTTCCAATTTCATCCATGTCCCTACAAAGGACATGAACTCATCATTTTTTATGGCTGCATAGTATTCCATGGTGTATATGTGCCACATTTTCTTAATCCAGTCTATCATTGTTGGACATTTGGGTTGGTTCCAAGTCTTTGCTATTGTGAATAATGCTGCAATAAACATACGTGTGCATGTGTCTTTATAGCAGCATGATTTATAGTCCTTTGGGTATATACCCAGTAATGGGATGGCTGGGTCAAATGGTATTTCTAGTTCTAGATCCCTGAGGAATTGCCACACTGACTTCCACAATGGTTGAACTAGTTCACAGTCCCACCAACTGTGTAAAAGTGTTCCTATTTCTCCACATCCTCTCCAGCACCTGTTGTGTCCTCACTTTTTAATGATTGCCATTCTAACTGGTGTGAGATGGTATCTCATTGTGGTTTTGATTTGCATTTCTCTGATGGCCAGTGATGATGAGCATTTTTTCATGTGTTTTTTGGCTGCATAAATGTCTTCTTTTGAGAAGTGTCTGTTCATGTCCTTCGCCCACTTTTTGACGGGGTTGTTTGTTTTTTTCTTGTAAATTTGTTTGAGTTCATTGTAGATTCTGGATATTAGCCCTTTGTCAGATGAGTAGGTTGCGAAAATTTTCTCCCATTTTGTAGGTTGCCTTTTCACTCTGATGGTAGTTTCTTTTGCTGTGCAGAAGCTCTTTAGTTTAATTAGATCCCATTTGTCAATTTTGTCTTTTGTTGCCATTGCTTTTGGTGTTTTGGACATGAAGTCCTTGCCCATGCCTATGTCCTGAATGGTAATGCCTAGGTTTTCTTCTAGGGTTTTTATGGTGTTAGGTCTAATGTTTAAGTCTTTAATCCATCTTGAATTGATTTTTGTGTAAGGTGTAAGGAAGGGATCCAGTTTCAGCTTTCTACATATGGCTAGCCAGTTTTCCCAGCACCATTTATTAAATAGGGAATCCTTTCCCCATTGCTTGTTTTTCTCAGGTTTGTCAAAGATCAGATAGTTGTAGATATGTGGCGTTATTTCTGAGGGCTCTGTTCTGTTCCATTGATCTATATCTCTGTTTTGGTACCAGTACCATGCTGTTTTGGTTACTGTAGCCTTGTAGTATAGTTTGAAGTCAGGTAGTGTGATGCCTCCAGCTTTGTTCTTTTGGCTTAGGATTGCCTTGGCGATGGGGGCTCTTTTTTGGTTCCATCTGAACTTTAAAGTAGTTTTTTCCAATTCTGTGAAGAAAGTCATTGGTAGCTTGATGGGGATGGCATTGAATCTATAAATTACCTTGGGCAGTATGGCCATTTTCACGATATTGATTCTTCCTACCCATGAGCATGGAATGTTCTTCCATTTGTTTGTATCCTCTTTTATTTCCTTGAGCAGTGGTTTGTAGTTCTCCTTGAAGAGGTCCTTCACATCCCTTGTAAGTTGGATTCCTAGGTATTTTATTCTCTTTGAAGCAATTGTGAATGGGAGTTCACTCATGATTTGGCTCTCTGTTTGTCTGTTGTTGGTGTATAAGAATGCTTGTGATTTTTGCCCATTGATTTTGTATCCTGAGACTTTGCTGAAGTTGCTTATCAGCTTAAGGAGATTTTGGGCTGAGACAATGGGGTTTTCTAGATATACAATCATGTCGTCTGCAAACAGGGACAATTTGACTTCCTCTTTTCCTAATTGAATACCCTTTATTTCCTTCTCCTGCCTAATTGCCCTGGCCAGAACTTCCAACACTATGTTGAATAGGAGTGGTGAGAGAGGGCATCCCTGTCTTGTGCCAGTTTTCAAAGGGCATGCTTCCAGTTTTTGCCCATTCAGTATGATATTGGCTGTGGGTTTGTCATAGATAGCTCTTATTATTTTGAAATATGTCCCATCAATACCTGATTTATTGAGAGTTTTTAGCATGAAGGGTTGTTGAATTTTGTCAAAGGCTTTTTCTGCATCTATTGAGATAATCATGTGGTTTTTGTCTTTGGCTCTGTTTATATGCTGGATTACATTTATTGATTTGCGTATATTGAACCAGCCTTGCATCCCAGGGATGAAGCCCACTTGATCATGGTGGATAAGCTTTTTGATGTGCTGCTGGATTCGTTTTGCCAGTATTTTATTGAGGATTTTGGCATCAATGTTCATCAAGGATATTGGTCTAAAATTTTCTTTTTTGGTTGTGTCTCTGCCCAGCTTTGGTGTCAGAATGATGCTGGCCTCATAAAATGAGTTAGGGAGGATTCCCTCTTTTTCTATTGATTGGAATAGTTTCAGAAGGAATGGTACCAGTTCCTCCTTGTACCTCTGGTAGAATTCGGCTGTGAATCCATCTGGTTCTGGACTCTTTTTGGTTGGTAAACTACTGATTATTGCCACAATTTCAGCTCCTGTTATTGGTCTATTCCGAGATTCAACTTCTTCCTGGTTTAGTCTCAGGAGAGTGTATGTGTCGAGGAATTTATCCATTTCTTCTAGATTTTCTAGTTTATTTGCACAGAGGTGTTTGTAGTATTCTCTGATGGTAGTTTGTATTTCTGGGGGATCGGTGGTGATATCCCCTTTATCATTTTTTATTGTGTCTATTTGATTCTTCTCTCTTTTTTTCTTTATTAGTCTTGCTAGCGGTCTATCAATTTTGTTGATCCTTTCAAAAAACCAGCTCCTGGATTCATTAATTTTTTGAAGGGTTTTTTTGTGTCTCTATTTCCTTCAGTTCTGCTCTGATTTTAGTTATTTCTTGCCTTCTGCTAGCTTTTGAATGTGTTTGCTCTTGCTTTTCTGGTTCTTTTAATTGTGATGTTAGGGTGTCAATTTTGGATCTTTCCTGCTTTCTCTTGTGGGCATTTAGTGCTATAAATTTCCCTCTACACACTGCTTTGAATGCGTCCCAGAGATTCTGGTATGTTGTGTCTTTGTTCTCGTTGGTTTCAAAGAACATCTTTATTTCTGCCTTCATTTCGTTATGTATCCAGTAGTCATTCAGGAGCAGGTTGTTCAGTTTCCATGTAGTTGAGCGGTTTTGAGTGAGATTCTTAATCCTGAGTTCTAGTTTGATTGCACTGTGGTCTGAGAGATAGTTTGTTATAATCTCTGTTCTTTTACATTTGCTGAGGAGAGCTTTACTTCCAAGTATGTGGTCAATTTTGGAATAGGTGTGGTGTGGTGCTGAAAAAAACGTATATTCTGTTGATTTGGGGTGGAGAGTTCTGTAGATGTCTATTAGGTCCGCTTGGTGCAGAGCTGAGTTCAATTCCTGGGTATCCTTGTTGACTTTCTGTCTCGTTGATCAGTCTAATGTTGACAGTGGGGTGTTACAAGTCTCCCATTATTAATGTGTGGGAGTCTAATTCTCTTTGTAGGTCACTCAGGACTTGCTTTATGAAACTGGGGGCTCCTGTATTGGGTGCATATATATTTAGGATAGTTAGCTCTTCTTGTTGAATTGATCCCTTTACCATTATGTAATGGCCTTCTTTGTCTCTTTTGATCATTGTTGGTTTAAAGTCTGTTTTATCAGAGACTAAGATTGCAACCTCTGCCTTTTTTTGTTTTCCATTTGCTTGGTAGATCTTCCTCCATCCTTTTATTTTGAGCCTATGTGCAAGTAGTCTATCTTTAACCAGTCTCTTATCAATGAGCATCCAGACTGCTGCAAAACTTGAGCTCTGACCAACCACATTGTGACTCATATTGTATATATGTCCTTTTATGCCTGGGCAGGTCTGTCTGTTGGATATGTTCTCGTAGAACGGACAAGCCTGTTCCCCCTGTCCTCCGGGTCAACAAACTTGTCAGGTCTGTTCTGGGAGCTCAGTGGCCACCTTATTATTAATATGAAGTGTCATGGTACATTTTATTGACAGTAAAGCTAGATCCCGCCACCCCCCAAGTTTGGATGCCAAGCAGAGAATTCACCTCTCGCAGAGGCAGCAGGGACTGCATTTCTTCCCAGAGAATGGCAAACCAGGAAGACACTGCTTTGCCTTTGAAATAGGGATTGAAAATGGGGTCATTTGCCAATTCTGCAATCATAAACTAATCTGAAATCTGGTATGCTTTCTTACTAGTTAATTGTCTTAGGGACAGCCAGAGAAAGCATTAGGGGACATATCACTTCATTCAGACCATGGGAGTCTACAGGTCAGTTCCAAGATACACCTGCTTTTTGGATTGGCCAAATAGAACTATGCTATTGGGGTTTGGGGTGAGAATTAGGATCCCAGCCTTTATCATCCCCTTAAATTAGACTGCTGTCTCACATCCAGCTTTTCAAACTTTTTATAGCTCAAAGCATTTGCAGATCTAGGGCTTCCCATGTAGGTGCCCAGTTACTGCCAGCTGAAGGGGTATCCCCTACTTCCCCTTTTCCCTTCACATCAAAGTTGAAAACCCCATTTTTGGAAATCATCTCTCTGCACTCTGGGAAAGGTGAAACTACCTAAGTCCTCATCTGCAGTTCTTCCTACCACACTCGGACATCTGAGTGGAAGATCCCTCCTTAACAGCCTCACGACCTTATGCACCCATCTCCCTTAGCACAACGTTGGACAAATCTGGGCTCTTATGTCACACAAGCCCAGTAAAGGAGCTTCCTACCCCTTGCCATCTGACCACAACTGCAGCATTTTCCCTTGGATCCCCTGCTGGAGAGGTTGCAGGGCTGCCCCAGCCTGCTCCCCATGTGTGGGACCACCCAGCCCATCCTGGTGGATTGACTCATTGGATGGAAAAGGAAACCCATCCAAGTCCTTGCACAGATCACTCTGGCATCTCCTACCCAGCCTCTCTCACAGCTATGAATAAATTAAATCTGAATAAATAAATACAGATTTGCCTAGAACCTTTAGGAGAGATCCATCCATTTCCAGCTTTTCCTCTTGGACACCAACAAACAGACATTTTCATTGGTCTTGTGCCGGTCTCTGGCTTTTCTTCTTCTGTCATTAACCCTAAATCATCCCATTCCTGTCTATTCAGCATGGGGCTACCTTGGCCCATTTTGGCTGCTATATCAAAACACTTTAAAGTGCATGGCTTATAAACAACACATTTATCGCAGCTCTGGAGGCTGGGAAGTCCAATATTAAACTGCTGATGGATCTGACATCTGATGAAGGCCTGCTTCCTTTTCATAGATGGCACCCTCTAGCTGTGTCTTCATGTGGTGGGAGGGGCAAGGCAGTTCTCTGGGGCCTCTTCTGTAAGGACACTAATCCCATTCATGAGTCCTCTACCCTCGTGACCTAATCACCTCCTGAAGAACCCCCACCTTGTAATAGTATCACATTGGTGATTATTTTTCAACATATGGATTCTTGGGTCAAGGGACACCGAACATTCAAACCACGCACTGCTACCCTTTGTTTCGGCTGCAAATCCTGTGGCAGCTTAACCCTGCTGTCTGCTCGCCTCATTAACATGAACATAGACAAGGACACATTTAGCTCACCCGGATGGGGCTGTGCAGGCACCGTGCCAGCTGTAGCCTGAGATAAAGATGTCTCATTTTATCCCATTCCATGAGTGCCATGATCAGAGGATCCATTTCAGGAGGGATTTAACACTTTTTAGGGCAGAGAGAGGCCAGTTTCCTCTTTTATGGTAAATATAATATAATCGAGCCATAGCCTAGGTATGGGCAAAAATAAGACCAAGACACAGGCAGCAATTGCAGATGACTTGTTAAACCAAAGAAAGCTCACCGATCACATGGCTCATTCAGAGGGTTCTGGCGTCAGTCACTCAACTCCAGTGCCCATATCACATTCCTGAGAGACTGCGTGCTACAAGTATGTAGCCTCTCAGGAACACTCAGGAATGTGATATGGGGGTACTGGAATTGAGGGATTCCTGGGGTACTTAGCCAAACAAGACCACAGCCACCCACAAGGGGCCCATTTTTCATTTACGCCTAACTACTCTTTGAGTCCATATGGTTCTAAGAACTTCAGTCCCAAATCTTTTTCCTCACAGACCACTGCAGTAATCAAAGATGGATGGTTGCAAGTAGTTTGAACTAGGGCAGGGTTTGAGACAGATTTAGGACATGGCAAAATGAACAGAACTTAGGTGTTCACTCAGTCAACATACATATATATATTATATAATATATATAATATATATATTATATAATATATATAATATATATATTATATATATATAATATATATAATATATATATAATATATATAATATATATAAATATATATATATATTATATATATGTATATAAAATCCCACTTGTGAGCCAAGCCCTGTCCTGGATGGCTGGGTAAATTAGGGAATACGGCCACAGTGGTCTCTGTCTTCATTAGCTTTAGTGTCAGGGGGAAGATGGATTTGATGTAGGTATGTGAGCGGGGGATTCAGAATTACCTCCTGGTTTTTGTTAAGTTGGTGCAAAATTGTGGTTTTTGTCATTACTTTTATAGTCAATAGGGTGCCGTTACTAAGGCAAGAGGTGGAGGGAAAGGAGTTTGGAGCTGGAGCTGGGGCTGGGGCTGCGTAACTGTCAGGAAAACAGTGTTTTGAAGTAAGAGGAAGAAGCAAAGCAGCATTTCCTCACTAGACGCCCCTGGCACAGGTGGGTGAGTCAGAGCTCAGGGGAACATCCCAGGAAGCTGTGCGGCATGGCTGCTCAGGAGATCTGATGGGCACTCTGCGATGTGGGGAGCCACGTGGCCTGCAGCAGCCAGGTCACCAGAGGTGGGCATGGCGCCTCCACTGGTCAGCAGGGTAGGCAGAAAAGAAGGCGGCGCCAAGTCGGGAGTGCTGGGACAGGTCGGCGCCTTCCGGGCGCGTCTGTGTGTCCGTCCTTATGCCTGACCGTGTGACCTTCTGGGAGAAATGGCCTCAGCTTCCCTTTGTAGAAGAGGAATACATAATTTTCTCTTTACCCTTCACAGTTCCCAGTTGGGACAGACCCCTGTAACCTAAGACAGATTAACAGGAGGAAAACAAAGGTTTAGAAACACATATACATGATGTATACACAGGAGATAGCCAGAGAAATGAGAGCATCTCAGAGACGTGGCTTTGACTTCAGGCTTGAATACCATGGTCCAGGGAAACAGAGAAAGAAGGGTGTGGGGAAGGCCAGTTATGAGGAGATGCCCAGATAAAGCACCTTAAAAAAGAGTAACATTTGTTATGCAAGCTTAAGTCAGTGTCTTCTAGATTGATGATAGTCTCTAGGGATTCAGTCATTCCTTTATCTCTGGTACAGAGAGGAACCACCCTTACAAATGGAGATTTCCTTTGTAAATGTAATTTTCCTTACGCAACGGTAACTTCTGTTGTCAGAGGTTCTGCCTGTGTCTGTGGTTTCTCAAAATAATCAGCTCAAAATATTCTTTATGCAAAAGGGGCATACCGCAAGGTGGCATATGCTGGTGTCCTACAACTCCTGCCTTCTGAGTCTCTCCCAGGTTTCCTTCTTGTCCAGCTCCCGTCCTTGCAGGAAAGCGAATTCGGGGGAGATACTTTCCAGCCTTAGGCGGGACAGTAGTGCCAAGCTGAAAGCACAGAAGCCAGCACCGGCACTCGTTCCTGGAGGCAGTTTTGATGCCTCACCCGTGCTCATGAGTCTTGGGAAGGATCTGGGCTAAAGATGATTAAATTTGGGAGAGATGTGATCAAATGCAGAGATGGTAAAATGAAGGAAGGAGAGCTGGGGCAAGAGTACAGATGAAGAAAGTCCAGAGCAGGTGGGAAAGAGGAGAAGGTACCAGCAACAAAGATGGAAAGCGAGTGACCAGAGGAGGACCAGGGAAACAGGTAGAGTGGAGCTTTGAAGCCAAACAAGGGAGTGATGAGTAGTGAGCAAGGGGCCTGTGCTCCTGGGAGCTCCGGGGAGAGAAAAATGCATGGTGGGCCTGGGATATGGAGCCCACTGAAGAGCTTAGCCCCACCGGATTCATGCGTGTGGAAACAGAAGCCAGTCAGAGTCAGCTGAGAGCGTGGGAGAAAAGGAAATGCAGGTGGTGAGCTAAATAGCTAGAAAAGTTTGGCTGTGATGCTGGGGAGGAGTGGGCAGTTTCCTCTCCTGGGAAGAGGAGGAGTGGCATTTTAAGTGAAAGTTGGGGAGAAGTCTTGCTTCCTAATAAAAGTGAGGAAGGTTCGTTCTCATGTGTATTCTAAAGCTGTATGCTTAGTTTCATCTACGTCTCAGCTCTGCGCTAGGAAAAGATGCTAGGGAAAGAATGCAAAAGACATAGGTCTTGTCCCGAGGTTCTTGTCTCCTCCAGGAGGCATGTAAAGGTCTCTGCTGTAGGGTGGAGCGACCCTTGAAAAGGGCCCTGCAGGACTTGGAAGGAGGCTGGGATGTGCCCAGTGAGGTGAGGTTCTGAGAAGGGAGGCAGTATCTGAGCTGGGTTTTGACAAAGAGCTAAAAAGTCTCTAGGCAGAGGTACATGAGAAGGAACAGAGGGGCGGGGCCTCGGGATCTTCTGGGAATTACAATAAATGCCCCTGGGTACCCTAACTGAACCATTTTCACAAAGGCACCTGCTCTGGGCAGACACTGAGGGGAAGGGTGGAGCCCCAGCGTACGTCTGCCCCCATTCCTTCCCCCATGAATAAAAGCCCCTGTTGGGGGCACAGCGATACAGACTGACCCTGTTGGGTTTGGGGCACATGAACACTTTCAGACACCCCTGAAACCATCCCATATAGCTTAGTGGGATCAGAAAACCCTATCTCTGTGTTCTGTGGGGAGAGGGGGAGGACCAGAGGAGGAGAACTGTAAAAGCCAGAGGGGATTTATTTGACCCTCAGGAGGATTTACCTGGGCATGTGCTCTGAAAGCCAAGCAGTCCTGGAAGGAAAAGCAATGAATCATTTATGATTGTTTTCACTTTGTATTCATTAAAGGCCTCTGCACTATTATTATGGAACCTTAATTGGCTTGGCACCGGGCACTGCCTCTCCCAGCCCCTGCTCCTCCCTTTGCCATCAGAAATTCCTGGAGTGAGTGGGGGAGAGGACCCTGTCTGCAACAGGCAGCTGGGCTAGAATCCACCCCGAAGATCAAATGAAATGCAGTCACTTTTCTTTCTTCTCTCTGATCATATATTAATAAATGTATCTATCTTGTTGGGTTTTAGCTCTGCTCCCCACGAGCTGCTCCAAGCTCCTGCATCTCTTAGCCCCCTTTGCTTCCTCAGCCTCCAGAGAACTTTCCATCAGCTGTCCCTCGCCCAGCCTTGCAGACGCGGTGACTTCACGCGTGACAGCGTGCAGCCTTTGTTCCAAGTGCCGTGTTGGGCACTCCACCAGCAACAATATGCGGGTTACCTGATTTACTTCTTTTAATACACTTCAGTGTAATTATAACTGCATAAAAGAGAGGACAAATTGGCAAGTAATTACAATGTTAATTTGGCAACGTTTTATCATATTGTGGAAGCGCAATTTCCTCTCTAATTGTATTGGGGGGGACACATTTATCTGTGGTTCAGCTTACTGAGGGATTCTTGAGAATGGAAATGAAACACACAAGAGACAGAGAAATCAGCTCTCCTCCCCGTAAATATTCCTTTATTTATGTGTGTTTTGCAGCCTCCTTAAAAAAGCTAACTAACTCGTTTATTCAGGCCTAATTAATGGAATGCCACAGAATGTGTAATTAGGCTGTGACAGATTCAGCTGATGGATGGCTTTGCCTTTGGAAACCGGAAGTACCCCCAGATAAAAGGGCTGAACGCTTCCCTTTCAGAATCTCACGGGCTGTGCGTGCCTCACCACCGTCCCTGCTGAGAACGCAACCGTGGTTCCTGGAAAATGCCCCAGTCCTGGGTGCCAAGAGGCCTTCCTCACTTTCCTCTGTGTGATGTGTATCTGCAGCCTGATCGGTGCCATGGCACAGACACCCTCAGTCATCATCCTCATCAGGTAAGCCCTCGGCACAGCCCCGCCTCTCCTCCTTTCCACCTGGTGTTCATCTGCAGGCCTCCTAGGGACCAGAGCTTCAGACAACAGGAATCTCTCGAACCAGGTGAGCTAGGGCCACAGCAAGGAGCGCAGCTTCTCTAGGCTGATAGGAATCAATTATGTTTGATAGGGACCTCCCACCAAGAGAAGAAGGCAGGGCATGGGGGAGAAGACAGCACTTTCATGTTCTCCCAGAAATAGAGCCTGCAGGCAGTTTTGAAAAGGATCCTGCATTGAGCCTTACAGGACGCAGCCTCGTTGGAGGAAAATGAAAGTGGCGTCAGTGCCCAGCCCCCACCACCCTGCCACTGCTTAGCCATATGACCGTGGGCATTTTCCCCCTAGACTTGCTCCTGAATCTGTAACTGGGGGTGATATGACCCATCCTGCCTGCCTCCTGCAGTGGAGCAGGACCCACTGAGACCATGTGTGTGCAAACACATAGAGACTTGACGGGTTATTGTGCAGCAGGGCTCACGGCAGGTGAGCAGTGACCATTCTTGTACAAAGAGGTTGCTGGAGAGAGCCAACCGAAATTCTATTGTTACCTGTCTCTGGGGACCTGTCCTGGGGATAGGTGAAGTGCCTCAAAGAAAGATGAGCCATTAGTAATATTCTGAGTAACTTTTATCATTTGCAGAGTTACCTAGATTTGTGTTGGAAACCCAGAAGTGAACTAACACATAGGCTGCCATTCATCTGAATCAGGGGAAGGTACTCTACACAAAGACTCATCAGCTGGGCATGGTGGCTCATGCCTGTAATCCCAGCACTTTGGGAGGCCAAGGCTGGAGGATCGCTTGAGCCCAGGGGTTTGAGACCAGCCTAGCCAACATGGAGAAACCTCTTCTCTACAAAAAGTAGCAGGGCGTGTTGGCACATGCTTGTAATCCCAGCCACTTGGGAGGCTGAGGCAGGAGAATTGCTTAGACCCAGGAGGCGGAAGTTGCAGTGAGCTGAGGTCATACCACCGCACTCCAGCCTGGGTGACTGACAGAGCAAGACTCTGTCTCAGAGGGGAGAAAAGACAGACTTGCCTAATTGGGATGCAGTTATCCAAGTGAACAGATTCAATAGCAAAGGCTGGAAATAAAAGTAGGAATGAAACGCATGGAAGTACCCAGTGTCCATGCACCTCACCTCTACTTTATCCAGCTTCTCTCTCACTTTGCCAACCACATTTCCTCATCTTTATTATGAATTCCCAAGGAAGAGGATTTTTACAAGTACTAATGTTACCTAGAACGTCATTAGCAAGGCCTTGCGAATGTGCAGAGCATTAGGGTATAATAGCAAATTACCATTTTATACTTACTAAGTTTGAAAAATAAATTTTAAAAATTGACACCCAGTGCTTGCAAGGCTGTGGCAAAACTGACAAAATCACAAATTGCTGGTGGCATGGGAAAAGGCTATCACTCCTTTCAAAAAAGCAATATGACAGTGTGCGTCAAGAGCCATACAAATATTCAGACCCTTTTATTCAGTAACCCTACCCCTTGCCATTTATCTTAAAAAAGTACTCCTTTACAAGAAGAAAAAAAGAAAGAGCTCAATGCAGACAAATTTTTATTACAACGTTAACTATAATAGCAGAAAAACCTGAATTGGAATAGTGAGTTAAATTATGGCACTGCAGCTCCATGGAATAATGAAAATTCTTAAGAATGTGAAAGTGTTTATGAAATGAACTATTGAATTTAAAACTATTTAGAGAAGATGATTATAATATGCATTTGGACAAAACCCATCAGATCTCATGTATAGGTTTTAGGTGGCTGCCTTATGAGTAGTTTATTTTTCATTATTAGACGTTTTCGTGAAGTTATATTGTGATATTCATACACTAAAGGCATTGGAGAAGCATGAAAAATGACTAGTCTCTTATTAGCTTGCCCCACGACTCCTCTGCAAAAACCCAGCCTCTAGACGCTGACTAGTGGTGACTACCAAACATGGAAAGTTTGTTGAAATTCTTAATCACTTCCAGATCTCAGCTTGATAAACAGCTCTTGGAGCTTTGCTGGAAATATTTGATTCCCTCTAAATTAATCAGCCACAGATGGCCTAAATGACCTAGGCTTGTAACTCCACGCTGTGCTGGAAGCGCATGCTATGCATTGTGCATATTGAGAGGTCCAAGACACAGTTTTATTCCATCACCTTCCTAGTCTGATTTGCCATCACAGATGTCTCAGGCTGGCACAGGGGCACAGATGTGCACCAGCCCTTGCCCCTCCCAGAAGAATGGACCCACTGTCATGCCAAACAGGACCATCCCAACAACAGTGCTCAGAACATCTGGAAGCGAGGTTGAAAGCTGATGCCCAGCCCCTCTTAGGCCCCACGCTGGGCTCCGAGAGAAATTAGGCAGTGTTCTCAAGGTCACCCAGCTAGTACCTTTAGAACTAAGACTCCCTCCCAGCGTTGTCCAGAGCTTTCAATAGTGTTCACACGGAGCCCTCCCCGTTTCTTCATGACTCAAGCCAAGAAGGATTCTTCTTCTCATAGGAAGCAATTTCCCAACAGGATATGAAGGGAGATCTTAGCACCTTGCTCACTTTGTTCCTAGTGACATATGATAGCTGAAAGGAAATCAAATTTCAGGTGATAAATATTCTAACTCATTATACCAGTGTGCTTTCTTGATAAGGAGAATTTGTCTCTATTTATGTGTCTGTCTTTCAAGTCAGTGCTTTCAAATGAAAGTGCAAAAACCGGAGACATGGAGCTGATAATAGCTTTGAAGAACTTGGATTTTGTAACGTGCACGTTCTAAAGGGTGCTGACTGTGTTTCTGTCCAGAGGCACTGGACTCATCATGGATGTTGTACTGGTGTCTAACTCAACCAGCCAGAGTCACGTCCCCATCGCTCAATGAAAGTCATGACCTGCTGCCCTGGGATGACTTACCTGTACTGTCTGGGTCCCAAACTGAAGAACTAGGAGTCCAATGTTCGAGGGCAGAAGGGGTCCAGCAAGGGAGAAAGATGTAGGTTGGAAGGCTAGGCCCATCTGGTCTTTTCATGTTTTTCTGCCTGCTTTATATTCTAGCTGTGCTGGCAGCTAATTAGATGGTGCCCACCCAGATTGAGGCTGGGTCTGCCTTTCCCACCCCACTGACTCACTCAAATGTTAATCTCCTGTGGCAACACCCTCACAGACACACCCAGGATCAATACTTTGCATCCTTCAATCAAGTTGCCACTCAATATTAACCATCACAGTGCTGGAACATGCTAAGTGGATTATTTCCCAAATGGTCCATCCAGGGTGTCTAACCATGCTAATCTGGTGGATTTCACAAAATGACTGGAGAATGGTAAAGGTGCTCATGGTTTCAGCTTGTTTGTGAAGGATAAGGGGAATTATTTTCTCGGTTGATGTTTTCCCCCCCATACGTGTACCCCACCCACTTAAGATGCTTCCTGATCTCAGCAAAACCAACATGTCTTTAAACGCAGGTTTTATGACCAAATTTGCATTCTGTCCTTCGAATGACAAGGTTAGCTCCAGTTATTAAAAAACACTGTTAAATTCCTAAACTTATCTTGGCACCACAGTTGCAGTTATTTTTCAGACTTTAGGCAGAAAAAAAAAAAGACACTATTAGTAATTTTAAAAAAGACACTATTAGTAATTTTCTAAAGAAGAGCTCTGATGGACAGCAGCAAATGACTCTGGGGTCTGTTAATTACAGGGGAATGATAAAAATCTGGTTTTTTTTTTCTCTTCATCTCTTTGCACGTAGGACAGTCAGCCCTGAACTCAAGTCTTACGCTTTGGGAGTTCTTTTTCTCCTCCTTCGTTTGTTGGGTATGTATTATCTCTTTATTTCCTCAATAATGAATTGGATGCTTATTACTAGGTGAGTAACTGTCAGTCAAATTATCCCATTTCCTAGGTCTGTCTCTTTTTTCTTTGCAGTTTAATTATTAGTAAATAAGAAATTTTAAGTCTCAAAATTTTGGTCAGAGATAAACTCAGACACTGCCTCGATATCACGAAGTTCTCATTTATACCAACTCTTATCTTCACGCCACCGTGAATTCTCATCGGCATAAGGAGGAAAAGAGATGGCACCAAAGGGGAAAAAAATCTGGTGGTGTAATTTGGCATCTTCATTAAGCAAGCCATGAGCAGCTTGTGAAATGCTTCATTTATGGGGCCGCCAGCTGGGAGAGAGAGGCGTTCTCACAATGCCTTGAAAATGGAAACTTTGCATCCTTTAAATTTTTCCAAACTGACTTAGTTTGTTTACCTTGAATTTCTGGGATGGGGCAAATGTGACCTTCATGCTATAGGGCCCACGTTTCCAGATTTGGTATGGAAAGAAGGAAGAAAGTCTGACCCTCTTGTTTTTAAGATAGGCAAAAGGAAGATGAGATAGTCCATGGTTCACCACCCAAGGTCCTTCCTGGGCACTGGCTGGGCTGACGCTGGGCCTGGTTCCCAGCTATGCCTACCTTTCTCTTGCCATACCACACCGTTGCTTTATGAGCATTCTTTTGTTAAGGCCAAGATCAAGATAACTTTTTTCCTTGAATAATAGGACAGTCACCTTCCCCAGTGGACTTTAAGTGGCATCTGAATGTAGAAAGGAAAACAACCATGACCTGTATTTTTAGAGTAGAAATAAAATTCCTCATTCCACGTATATAATCGTGGATAAGCACAAATACCTAGCTATAGAAATGTTTGTAAAAGTGGAAAATTGGCAGCAACCCAAAAGCCCAACAGCAGACAATTAGTTAAATCAGTTATGGTCTATAATCGCAGTAGGATTTATGTTCCCCTTTAAAATTCTGGAAAGAAAAATATAGACTTAGAAAGGGCATGTGATGGGGGAAGGGGAAAAACAGGTCTGTAATGTAATAACTTTTGCAATATTTTTCCATTTTATCAGAAGAGTATCAGCTATTATCTTTGAGTAATAAGGTTATATTTTCTAAATTTGTTTTAAAGTTTTGAATGAAATGTCTGTTACTTTTATGAGATTAGTTTTTATATACCGATATATGAAAGAAAAATATTAACCTTTAGATCCATTAAGGTCCTCCCTGGGGAATGGCAAATACATAGCATATGTCTCTCCTCACCTTCCTTCTCCGTCTATAGCAAAAACTTTCTATCAATCTGTGATCATTCCCTCTGTGCCTGGTAGAAGACCTCAGAATGCTCTCAACCACTATCAATCCATGTTCCTTGGTATATACATGGGAACTCAAATGGCATTGTCCTAAGTCTAAGTCATGGAAAAGAGAAGTGCTCTAGGTGTGAAGATGCCCCAATTAAAACAAGTTCAGCGCTAATTCAAAGTAAAGCATTTGGGCCTTCCTGGGAAGCTGTAGTAGCATGCAGAAATACCAAGGCAGAGTTATGATCGTGCTGATTTTTTCCTATCAGTGGGAGGGTGCAGTCTGCATATATTTTACCCCTGCTCTCACTGCAGTGTGGGGTGGATCGATAGGTGGATGTGTAATATTAACTGGCACATTGACACCCTAATTTTTGCAAATGGTAAAGCCATTCCACATATGCATTTGTTCAAGAAGCTAATGTTTATTGAAAACCTATTGTGTTCTAAGCCATGAACCATCCCCAGGTAAGTGACCTCAGCTCTGCCATTACGAGTCCTCTGGGGCTGGCCAGGGAAGGTAAGAGCCCACCCTCCTCATCTGTGGAGTTGCTATGGAGATCTCTGCACCTCTAGACAGATACTAAGGACTCAATGCAACTGGCAGAACATTTTTTTGATAGCACAAGATGAAAAACAATTTGCAAGGTATTTCTGAAAAGTTAATGAAAATTGTAGGATAGTTGAAAGCAAAAGTGAACATTATGAGGCATATGATACTGTTAAAATCATCATACACTGCTGTAAAGCAGTTTCAATATCTGTATGTCTGCCCCAGGAATAATCAACCAGGTATTACCTAGAATAGTGTTTTTCAACTTCTGCAACTGTAATCTAGAGCAAGAGATGACAAGTTTTGCATTATGGCCCAGTACGCACATGCCTATGCCTAGATACAGCTGAAACAAACAAAAAAAAAAAATCATGAAAAAATACTCACTGTAATAGGTATGACACATTCTGACATTTTCTATTCTAGTCTATTACATGCTTTTAAAAAAGTTGGTTGTGACCCACCCTATTGATTTTATTGCCCCTTATGAGTCTCCAATTAGAGGCTGGAAAACCCTGCTCTAGAAGACTATGACACAGCTTCATCTTTCAGTTGAAAGCAGCTCATTGAAGAAGTCTTAGCATTTGGCCTAATTCCCTTTCTTGCAGGACCCAGTAAGATTAACCACCATTATTGTTAATGTGAAGGCCGGCAAAGACATCAGATCCTGTGACATCATCAACTTTTTTGCTGGCCTAGCAAGGGCAATGGGGATACAATGGGGACATCACAGGTTAGTGTGACAAGATTCGAGTTGGCACAGGTGCAACAGGAATATGTAGAAGGGCCTCCTAATCTTGCCTTGGGATGGGAGCAGTGGGTTTGGAAAGGATGTGATGTCTATGCTCAGCCCTGGGGAAGGAGTAAGAGTCATACAGATGAGCAGGGAGAAGGACTTACGGGGTAAAAGCCCGGGGATGAACAAAGGTCCCAGCATGTTTGGGGGCTGCAGAAGGCCCAGACTGGGGGGAAAGGGGGGACAGAAGAAGATGGAGCTGGAGAGGGTAGTGGATCAGGAACTTGGTCAGGAAGGGCTTCTGCCCTGTTGCTGCATTTGACCTTTATCTTGGGAGGGTGAGGCAGAAGAATCCCTTGAACCTGGGAAGCAAATGAAAGTTGTTGATGGGCTTTAACCAGAGAGTGACAAGATCCACTGTGTATTTTAGAAAGGGCTTGTCTGCCATGTGGAGAATAAGAACATGGCTGAAGAAGTTGCTGCTGTAATGAAGTGAATGACAGAGGCTCGTGCCGAGATGGTGCTCGCAGGATGGGGAGAGGGGTAGGGTTGAGAAATAAAAGGAGGAATCTGCATTATGCATTATTCTCCAAGTGGAAGCATAAGAACTGGAGTCTTAGAAAGGGGCACCCACAGTGCCCACTCCTAAGAAAGTCTTGGGTAATGTGGTGAACAGGGGAATTATTTATGAGACAGGAAGAAAGGATGTAGAGCAAGTTGGGAGTGGTGTAGACCAGCGCTCTCCAGTGGAACGTTCTGTGATGATGGAAATGTTCTCTGTCTGTACCACAGGTGCTGTTGCACACTTGAAATGTGGCTTCTGTAGCCTACTTTAATTTTATTAGTTTTCACATAAGTAGGTGGATGTGGCCAGTGTCTGCCATACTGGACAATGAGGGGGCCATCTTTGATGCACCACCCTCATGGGTCAGAGTGAGGAAATGGGATAGGGGAACAGGAAGACCCTCTTTCCAGACACTTGGGTGTAAGTGAAGAGGGCAGGAGCTAGAAATGAATGTGAGATCGGTCTCCCTTGTTGCTTTACCCACCAAGAGCAAGGAGTTGGTAGAAAGGGCCAGGGCAGGGCTGCAGAGGTGTACTGGTCAGTGGGGCTCTGGGAGTGGCCCCAGCACCCTGGAGTAGAAGCAGGAGTGTGGCAGGAGAGTGGAGCCAAAGAAGCTGAGGGTGATGATCAAAGTAGGGCTGAGATGGGAGAAAGGAGAGAGGACAAAGATACAGGAACTGTAAAAACTAGTTGTAATAAATAATGGAAAAAGAACTGGAGGATGTGGCCAAAGCCTCATTGTCTGACTTCGAGATTATGGAAGTGGAGCAGTTCTGACCAATGACAAAGCCCAGGGTGTTGCTGGCCAGAGAGGGACAGGGGTCAAGAGCGTGGATGTTGAGAGTGAGTTAATGAAAGGCTCACATGGACAAGTTTATGTTGTTGAGTAGGGGAGGAAGACACTGAGCTGGAGAAGGGTCAGTGAATTCAGAGTAAACTGAACGATCTACTCATAGCAGAATTCCTGGTATAATTGAGTCCATCCTCCTTTATTCTTCTGCAGGTGTCTTGGCTACTCCTTTTCTCTCCAGGCTGTGGGCAAACTCTCTGCTCCTGAGTTGGTCTAGAATCTTGTTCCTGGGGCCACTGCTTGCCAGGGCGTTACACCAAATTAAATTATTGGAAACATACATGTGCTGAGACTCTTCCACATCCAAGGTGCTGTCTAGGGGCTGCTCAGGGTGCACAGATAAGTAGGTGCCAATATCCTGCCTCTGGCGGCTGCAGTAGGAGAACAAAGCAAGTGTGGGGAAGGTGTGGGGTTGGAAGAGTTACAGAGGGCCTTGATTTTCAAAGGGAGAAATTATACTTGGCTGAGTAGTTGCCAGTGTGGAGCAAATGGGGGTTTCAGATGGGAGAGTGAATGTACATTCAGAATTCTGCTTTAGGTAGAGCAGCAGGTGAGCAGGGCATGAGGTTTAGCAGGATGCAGGATAACCCATCAAAAGCATTGAAGTGAGAAGCTGACCACCAGCAAAGCAGTGGGTTTGAACGGTAAAGACAGATGGGAGCCACATAAGAGACAGCATCTATTGAGATCCCCCCAACCCAACCGACCTAAGTGAAAGCAAAAGAGAAGCAATGAAAGCTCAAGATGAGGCTGAGGTTTGGAGCCCCTGGGACTGAGGCTATGGAGAAGCCTTTAATAGAATAAGAAACAATAGATCAAGTGTCTCAGGGTGTCATTAGGGATGAGCTTAGCTTCCACAATACCACTACAAACTCCCCACATACACTGACCCTGCCTCTTAATTTTCCAGCCTGCCCGCCTAGCCAAAAGCATAGGGAAGGCCCTCGGGGTGCATTTCTGTAGGCAGGGGTCATTCCTGAGCAGATTGTCCTTGGTCTGGGGTGATTTGTGAACTACTCTGGAAAAGTACATCCTAGACACTCCTGCTGTGGCTTGTCAGACATTTGTTGAGTTCCTGCTGTGAGCATCGTCTTGCATATGCCAAAGTTTATAGGCAAGTGGAAAAATGAACGTGTTAAGTGCTGCTTTGGAAGAAGCAAGCACAGCATGCCCAGGGGCCCCAGGTGAGAGATGAGAGGGAGTGAGATACGGCGGTGGGATGCATGGAAGACCCCTTCCACTTGCCTACACTTTTAATTGTTCATTCGGCGAACATATGTTAGGCGCCAGCCATGTGCCCTGGCTCTGTCAGCAGTGGACCTCACCTCCTGATGTACCTGCACCACCCATGATCTGCCACCCTTACCTGTACTGAGATGACATCCAGTATTTACCATGGGCCCTCTAAAGTCAGTCACACCTGCTCTTGAGCCTAGCTCTGCCTTTCCTGACCATGTGGCAGATTATTTAAGCTCTCTGGGCCTTACCAACTTTAACAAGGGGTCCAGGAATGAAAGGAGAACATAGTAGCTCCTGCAGACTCTCCAGTTTAAGAAAAGTAAATGTCAGGTATCACTGGAAAACAGCCCAGATTCTTTCTTGGCATTGCTGAAGCAGAGAACTCATTAAACCTTCCAGGAGAATACACTTTTCAGCATCTCCCTTTCTAGCTGGTGCTGGACATAACAGTAATTCCACCAGGTTGAATAGAGATTCCATGGTGAATTCAAGTCTTGGCAGGTAAGCCAGAGAGAAACAGATATCTTTTTAAATGTAAGTGGCCGTAATTTTCAGCTTCCATTTTGTCCCGTAAAGGAATTTGAACTTATTTTTCTTACAAAAGCCTTTCAGTTCACCTTTTAAGTTTAGACCAAGGAATATAAATAGGCCCAGCCATTTCAACTAAGAGAGTAAATTAAATAGCCAATATATAAGGCCCTGAGGTTTAATCTCTGTTAATAGATTTCAGGAAAACAGAGACAGTGTTCTTAAACTGTGCAGCAAGTTATGCATTGAAATATATATAGCTGCAATTTAAGCCAGAGTGTAATAGTAAGATTCAGTCCTTTTAATATTCCCTCTAATAGCGGGCAACAGCATTGAGCCTGCACATACCTTCCTCAGCACAGGGTGGGTTCCCAGTGCCCCAGTGATGGAACCCTATTAACACCTGCTTCATCCACAAGTTCCTGCCCAGAGGACCTAGGGAGAAGACAAGATAAAAAAAAGAGAGAGAACTGCTCTTGCAGGCTTTGGGGAAGACAGCATTTCTTCAAAAGACACAGTTACTAAAGAAATACACCACCATCATCAAGCTCCCTTGTAACTAAGGACTTAACAGAGTGAAGGTGCTCAAAACCAGAGAGGACACTAAAGTACACCTGGCCCCCCCCCTTGTCCTCCCTTCTGGACACACCTGATTATCCTCTAAAACTTATGATGATGTGGAGAAATTTTTTTTTTTTTTTTTGAGACCAGTCTCAGTCTGTCACGCAGGATGGAGTGCAATAGTGTGATCTTGGCTCACTGCAATCTCTGCCTCCCAGGTTCAAGCGATTCTCCTGCCTCAGCCTCCCGGGTACATGTACAGAATTCTTGCCAGTGGGGGTTATTATTCACTGAATCACAGCTTGAAAGGTTTTCTACAACTCTTTCTCTAGAGGTGGTGAACTTAGGACGGATTTTCATTTACCCAAAAGAGTTCCTGAACACGGAACAAAAGCCAAACAGCAGCAAGGGAACCAGATTTTTGGAGCGCCCACCCTGTGAGGGCTTTCTCAAATGGCATCCCATTGATTCTTTACAAAAGCTCTGCCTGAAGGTATGATCGTGCCCATTGTATAAACAGTGAAACTGAGATTCACTCAAGTTGTGTGAATCACACAGTTCCCAAGTGGCGGAATTAGAATCCAAGATCAGCTGTCTCTGGTTCACAAATTTGCATTTCCTCCCAGTCACCAAAACTCCAGATGTGAACTCCCTGTCTGAGTTCACATCAAAGCCTACCACGATGACAACTCCGTGTCTCTTCCTGCTGACAAGCATAGTATCTGCTATTACTGCCTCAGGTGTCCAGCGAAATACTGAGTTTGTTTACAAAATAAGTCTCCCAGCCTTCTCTATGTATTAGCAACCCCAGAGAAGGAAGGGCTGCCCGCTTTGCAAAGATCAAACCCCCTGTGTGTTTCACCCTCTGCACACTTCAAAACCAGGCTTCTTCAAGCCAGTTACGCCAGGAGCTTAGCAAAAGGGTAAATAAAATGTTCTCTGTATCCCTGGAAATCCCCAATAAGAGCTCTAAAGTCTTCTCAAATCAACAAAGTCTGAATTAGAAGGAAGGAGATTATTGGGTTTGGAATTTTGAAATATCAAACCTGGAACAAATAATCTCACTCTCAGTTTATTTGTATGTGAAATAAGGTGGGGCAGGGGGAGTGGTTATGGAGGGGACGCATAATGGATGTGGAGCACTCTATACAGTCCTGGGTAGGGGGTAGTTAATGATACTACTTAGCATGACAGTTGCCAGTCACACTGTCACAGTCTCCCATTTGTCTATGGGGAACCAGCTCCTTGCAGGGACTGCCTGAGTTTTTGTTTGGTCCAACTGAGTGACGAACATATAAGGATGTGGGGCTGGGCGTGAAAATGAGTCACCAAGGTGGAACTCCCTTCTGTGACTCATCAGGTGAGTTCCAGAATGGCAGAGGCCTCTAACAAAAAAGATGCAGTCCGTTCGTCTCTGGTATTGTCCGCACACCTGCAGTTTAGGGCCTGATAGCTAGACCTCCCCTTTGGGAAAGAATTTTAAGTGAATAAAAAGGAAAAGATGAATTTGATGGAAAAGAAAGCCAATATTTTCACTATTCAGAAGTATAAAAGGAATCTCACAAAGGTTATACTTAAGGTACTCAACCTAGAGTTTATTCTAAAATACCACCCCAAATCCCCTATCTAACATGAATAAGGTGGCAAAAGTTCTGGTTGCATGGCAAGATCAGACCCTTGGCGAAACACTCACACACACACCTCATTTGTGTAGTGTTTACCTTAGCCCTTACCAGGCAGGGTGGTATTAACTCCATTTTAAAGATGAAGAAACAGACATTGAAAGATCAAGTGACTTTCTCCAGGACTTTTGGCACCTTAAAAGTTCTTTCATCTCAGCTGGGTGCGGTGGCTCACGCCTGTAATCCCAGCACTTTGGGAGGCTGAGGCAGGCAGATCACAAGGTCAAGAGATCGAGACCATCCTGGCCAACATAGTGAAACCCCGTCTCTACTAAAAATACAAAAATTAGCCGGGCGTGGTGGCAGGCACCTGTAGTCCCAGCTACTTGGGAGACTGAGGCAGGAAAATCACTTGAGCCCAGGAGGCGGAGGTTGTAGTGAGCCGAGATCATGCCACTGCACTCCAGCCTGGCCACAGAACGAAACTCTGTCTCAAAAAAAAAAAAAATTTATTTCATCTCTACCACAAATGCACTCTGAAATATTGAACAGAGCATAGCATGAAAAACTTTGGTAGGTTTTTTTTTTTTTTTTGGAGATAGGATCCCATTCTGTCTCCTAGCCTGGAATGCAGTGGCGTGATCATGGCTCACTGCAGCCTGGAACTCCTGGGGTCAAGTGATCCTCCCATCGGCCTCCTGAGTACTTAGCTTTCAAATTGTTGTTTAGAGGTTTTGTCATCTGGTAGTGGAGCTTGACAATAGGCAAGATATAATTGGCATATTTATCACATAGCAGTATGCCCTACTTAGAAGACAACCAAGTATTATAAGAATTCTCACTCAGGTACATGAATGAGTTGCACAGTGGTATTTTGGGGGGATATTTTGGTTTTAACAATTATTAACGAATTTGGTTCCTTTATGTTGCAAATTTCCTTTGATGTGCTTAAAATATGACCTGGTTTGCACCGACCTGGAATTTGTATGCAAGTATCCATGCATTATAGAGCAAGGGACACCTGTACCCTCAGTTCCTTCCAGCAGCAAAGCATTTACTAGAGGTGTCCTCTCTAACCTTGGCTCCCCGTCACCAGGTGTTGGGTGGCTAGAACAAAGTGAAATGACCTCAAGAAAGGTCACAAGGAGGGAGGAGCATTTGGGAGCTAATCACAATATAATGATTATGCCCCGTGCAGAGATAGAAAGGTGAATGGATTTGCTTTGCCCTGCTGTGCCACAGAAACAGGCCACATTAGTTCCATTTATCTCTAGGTCCATCTGTAATACACACTGGCTCCAGATCTTCATTTTTTACATAAATAACGTGGTGTGTGGCTTAGTTTCTATTATGCGGTTGCCATGGCAGTTCCTCCAGTTGGCTCTTTCAACTGGAGTGAAATGAAAAAAGGCACTTGTTAGGGGGCAGGGAAAACACACAGGGTTGGTGGGGAAGGGCTGAGACACCTGGGCAGCCTTTGGGATCACAGGGAATGCTACGAATATGCGCTTCCATTCGGCAGGACCACAGCCCAACCTGGCAGCTGGAAAGAAGGAAACAGGTTGTGTGGGATTTTGAGCTTGGAGCTTATTTATTAAATCGAGCTGCTTGGGAAGTTTAATGAGATTTCAACCAGAAATCTTCTCCGGGGCTTCTCTTTGGGGTATCAAGCAGCGGAGGTGAAGAGTTCCAAGGAGAAGTACAGAGGCACCTGGGCCGAGAGCCTGGAGCTCTGCCAAGCTCATTAGCACTCATAGGGTAGCAAAGCCCCGCTCTCACCCGATTCCAGGCATGTCATTAAAACCGGGGGAAGGGCTGCTTCCTTCATTAAGCCTTCCCTCTCTCCCCAACTGCCTTTGGAGGCCCCACAGAATGGAGGTGCTGCTGTGCTTATAATGCACATGCTGTTATTCCAGCAATCATGGATGGACTTCAGGGGCCTATGAACCCCCTGAGATACAGGTTTGATTTTATGGGTAGGTGCATTTTGCTGGGCTATGGGTCTAGATCTCATCAAAATCTCAGAGGGACCTTCCTTAATACAAAATGAAATTCAGATGCTCTAGGACTAGCTCTGCAAGGAACACTCCAGACAGAGGTATAGAGGCCCTGGGATCTCAGAGTTGGCCACACCTAGTTCCAGAGATCACTTCCTCCTCCTGCAGTCTGTCACTGAAGATGGTTGGCACTTTATTCTGGCCTCAAGGGGACAGTTTTTTTGAACAGTTAATTTGCATTAGTGACTCATCTGTCACTTTCCCATAGTACAGATGACACTCTCCCCCTTCACTCAGAATCACCTGGGAATGTGAAGGTGCTGAGGACTGTGCTGCACACCAAATGCTCTGATTTCAGTGGTCTGGGATGGGACACCCTGGATGATGATTGTCATGGGCAGCCAGGTCTGATAACTCGGATAACAGCAGGCAAAGAAACACAGAGAGGAACAGGGAACGGAAGTAAGGAAGGGGAACGGTTTTCATCTCATCTGCCATTTTTGGTGACTGGTTGTAGGTACCGGAAATGCTCTACCGTGAGGGTTTCAAAACTGGTTACCAACTCATTCTGAGCTGGGAATATTAAATATCCAGGGGAAGCGAAGTTGTCAGTATATATGCAGATATTTTCCATTTAAACTATATGTGTATACACACAGATGTACTCAAGTCCAATTTGTGGTGCCTGCACTCAAGAGCACAACAGCCCTAAAAGCCTCAAACAGAAGAACACCACACACAGTATGCCGGCGCTTTGCAGTTTCCTCTGTAGAACACCACACACAGTATGCCGGCGCTTTGCAGTTTCCTCTGTAGAACACCACACACAGTATGCCGGCGCTTTGCAGTTTCCTCTGTGGAACACCACACACAGTATGCCGGCGCTTTGCAGTTTCCTCTGTGGAACACCACACACAGTATGCCGGCGCTTTGCAGTTTCCTCTATGGAACACCACACACAGTATGCCGGCGCTGTGCAGTTTCCTCTATGAGACTACGCTGCTTTCACTGACACTAACTAAGAATGTTTCTCTTCAAGGAAGACCGTCTTGGCCTTCTCAGGCTCTCAGCAGAGGATGATGATGATAATAGCAGCTGTCATTCACTTTACATGGTAAAGTGACACAGTACACACTGTTCTAGATGCTTTTTTTTTTTTTTTTTTTTTTTTTGAGATGGAGTCTTGCTTTGTTGCCCAGGCTGAAGTGCAGTGGCACGATCTTGGCTCACTGCTACCTCTGCCTCCTGGGTTCAAGCAATTCTTCTGCCTCAGTCTCCCAAGTAGCTGGGACTGCAGATGTGCACCAACATGTACCACAGTGCAAATTCCAGGTTGTCTCTTTAGTAGAGACGGGGTTTCACCATGTTGGCCAGGCTGGTCTCAAACTCCTGATCTCAGGTGATCCACCTGCTTCAGCCTCCCAAAGTGCTGGAATTACAGGTGTGAGCCACCATGCCAGACTGATGCTTTCTATGTGTAAAGTTAGTCTTCACAGCCATCTGGTGAAGACTGTAGTATTATCATCATCCCCATTTTGCAGATGAGGAAACTAAGGCAGGAGGGCTTAAATAACTTGCTCAGATTTGTACCATAATAAAAAGGCAGAACTGGGACACAAACTCATGCGCTTTGCCTCCTGAGCATGTCTTTGAGCCACGGAGTCAGACATATTTGCCTAGCAGTGCTATAAGAAAAGCTAGGCAGAGACAGGAACAGGGGAGCACTGGCCACCAGATCCAGAACCTTAACATTCTTTTCCCGGTAACAGGCTTCATCCCTCCACCCCTCATCTTCGGGGCTGGCATCGACTCCACCTGCCTGTTCTGGAGCACGTTCTGTGGGGAGCAAGGCGCCTGCGTCCTCTACGACAATGTGGTCTACCGATACCTGTATGTCAGCATCGCCATCGCGCTCAAATCCTTCGCCTTCATCCTGTACACCACCACGTGGCAGTGCCTGAGGAAAAACTATAAACGCTACATCAAAAACCACGAGGGCGGGCTGAGCACCAGTGAGTTCTTTGCCTCTACTCTGACCCTAGACAACCTGGGGAGGGACCCTGTGCCCGCAAACCAGACACATAGGACAAAGTTTATCTATAACCTGGAAGACCATGAGTGGTGTGAAAACATGGAGTCCGTTTTATAGTGACTAAAGGAGGGCTGAACTCTGTATTAGTAATCCAAGGGTCATTTTTTTCTTAAAAAAAGAAAAAAAGGTTCCAAAAAAAACCAAAACTCAGTACACACACACAGGCACAGATGCACACACACGCAGACAGACACACCGACTTTGTCCTTTTTCTCAGCATCAGAGCCAGACAGGATTCAGAATAAGGAGAGAATGACATCGTGCGGCAGGGTCCTGGAGGCCACTTGCGCGGCTGGGCCACAGAGTCTACTTTGAAGGCACCTCATGGTTTTCAGGATGCTGACAGCTGCAAGCAACAGGCACTGCCAAATTCAGGGAACAGTGGTGGCCAGCTTGGAGGATGGACATTTCTGGATACACATACACATACAAAACAGAAAACATTTTTTAAAAGAAGTTTCCTAAAATAAAAAAAATTAAAAAAAAAAAACCCACAAGTTGAAAACATTGCCAGATTAAGCACTAGTGACACACCCCGTGCCACCCTCTTCCTCCAGGTGGGGGTGGGGGCGGGCGCACAAGTCGGAGGGGTGGAAGCACCACTCCTCTCTCTGACTTTCGCAATATGGGTCACTGTGTAGACGACTCACCCAGTCTGCATGTGGTTCAAGGCCCCAGAGTTCTCTCAGTGATGCTAATGGGTGATCCGTGCTGGAGTTTGTAATTGGCACCTCTCACCAGCTCCATTTCCATGTTCAAGACTGAGGGCCTGAGGGGGAGCCAGGTGGGGGGCCAGCACCTCCCAGTGGCGGGCATCCACCTTCCCCCAGCCCCACAGAGTGACCTCAGGAAGCAGTAGGCCTCGCCTGGCTATGACTGACCCGGCTCAGAGCTGGTGAGACCCAACGCAGTCCAAGTCATTTGCTTACATTTGCCAAAAACATTTTGCCATTTTTAAAAGAAAAAAATACAATCCATATGAATTTCAAACTGTTGTATGTATAATCCTCTAATACTATTTTTAACTACTTCTAAAATCTGTGTTAACCCTTCAAGTCACTAACACAGTTCTCTAGGCCGGATTTATTATGCTGGTTGCTTTTACTTTTTTTCTCCTTTTTTAATGCACCAAAAATATGTGATACAAGGGATGCAATTAACCTATTGTAATTTTCATCATTTTATCCTCATTCGAATATTCTACAAAAACAAGAATATACAATGTGTTACAAGAAGAAAAAAAAATGCTTCAAAAAGAGAGTGTATATGCAGCCTGCCTTTAAAAGAATCACATTTGAGACAACAGGGGATAATGTGATGAATTGCAAATTTGCCTTTTAGCTTCCTTCCCCATGATTCAGTGATCACTGTCACGGGAAACCCTTTTATATTCATGCTTGACATTCCAAGAGGCGTTCTTTTCAGCCTGTGGAGGAGACACTCTTAGATGTGGGTTTGTGTGTATGGGTGCAACACTTCCGGGGATAGGAAAGAAGAACAGTTCCCTAACACAAGCTGTTAAGAAGTCTGTAGCATCTCTGATAACGAATAGACCCACAAGCTCCTGGAAGCTGTCGTGTGTCCAATGCGTGAAAATGTCTGTGACATTTTCAGTGTTAGTCTTGAACTAAGGCCCTTGTCTGTGTGTTTTGAAGGTGGGTGAACCTCAGAGAATGAACCTGTTATGATTTGGGGTAAGAATCACGTTGGAAAACCTCTCGCAACCAGCACACTAGGCCTTCTACGGCCATTTCTGTAAGGGGACAGAGCTTAGGTAAAGGCACACACTCATACACACACAACAAAGGGCCCTGCTAACTTACTCCTCATGCTGCTTCAGTGACCTTTGTTCATGTCACATTCCTGGCGCTGGAAAAAAAACTCAAAGGTTGATTGGTTTGCTTTTTCACCTTGGACACATTTGCATTTTACCCACAAGGCAAACAAAAGAATCAGGAAGTAAAAAATGGTTGGGAGTGGGACAGGTATGGTACCGAATTTTTAATGAACATTGTAAATGAAGAGGCTTGAATGACAGCCCAAATCTAGAGAAGGCACTCAGCAAGACCAACCAAAAGAAAAGCTGTGTCGTGGTATGGGGCCACCGTGATCAGCTACCTGGGGCAGGATGCTTCTGAGACAGGCCTTTCAACTGCTTAGTGTTAGTATGTCCTTGCTTATGAAAATGGGGACACTCATCAGTACGTTAACTACTAAAGGGGAGATGGTTCTCCAACCACTTCATAAAATATGTATGTTCTGTTGTTCCTAAGGCTTTGATAATATCCTGTACAGATTTTGGTTTAGTTTTGCAAATATATTGCTAATAGGTCACTCTTATAGATTATTGCTTGGCCCTTCAAACTCAGTACACACACACTGAGGCCCTTTGACCTAGTGTTTTATGGAACTATTTGCTTTGAGAGAAAAAAAAAAGAAAGTTTTTTAAACTCTTTGCATTTTGGATTTTTTTTCCTAAGATTTTAGGATGAATGTGAAAAAGATGTTAGAATAACAGGAAGACAACTCCAGGGCTGAGTTTTATCAGCAATTGGGTATAAATTTAAAGACCGCTGTTGCAGGATGGCTCTGAATTCTGTTGTGTCGTCTTTTAAAATTTTAATTATTCTCATATAGTACCGAACAGAAAACTCAGTCTAGTTTTAATTTGCCTTTTGTGCTCTAAAGAAGCATTGTACATACAACACTAGATCCAGCCCCTCGATTATCTGTTTGGTTTCAAGTGAATGAAAAGATTTCCTGGTAAGATCATTGGATTTACAGAATACAAAAATGTACGGGATGGAATAAACCTAGAAAGTGAATGCTAGAGTTCTCTCTCTTCTGCTACAAACTCCTACACCATCTCAGCTGAACATGCCCAGGGTGGATGAAAAGTCTCTCTCTGCTGAAATTGACAGATCTTTGTAACTCCTACGTAGAGACAAAGAAGGTTTGGGTTTTGTTTTGTTTTTTGTTTTGTTTTGTTTTGTTTTTCTACCAATATCATTCCCTCCTATGAAGTAAGCACATTTTGCAAAAATGCCTCTCTAGGGGACAGGGTTTGCTGTCTTCTCTCAGCTGAGGCTGTGTGCTCTCAGGGAACGCTGGCTCTGAGGCACCCTGGGGGACAGGGCTCCAGAAGGCCACAGCATGGCATGCGGGCTTTCCTCACAGCTAGCGAAGGAGTGGAAGCAGCCTCCTCTCACGGTCCCCCCGAGGAGCTTGCTAGGAACACTTAACAGGCAAAATAATAACTGGAAAGCCAGGAGCTCCTAAGGAATCATTTGACAGGGTTGCTAACGTCTTCCTAGCAGGAGGGAGCGTGCCCCTCCATAAAAATCACTTCCTTCTCACCATCTGATCATGGAATAACTCGCTCTAGTGCTGACTTTTAAAGATTGGTTGAGTGTCATCTGTACATTCCAGTCCCCCGATTCCACTGCCCTGTGTCCAGTAATTGCCCTCCAGCTTCCCCTCACTCACACTATGGCAGGGCTTCCCAGCCCTTACAGTCAAAAAGCCTGCAGAAACGTTCCACACAAGGGCAACCAGCTGGTCCCTGGGATGGTAGTCACACCACTCTTGAGGAATTTTCCCAGGAAAAAGATTCTCCTGTGGTTGCTAATGGATATTCTTTCACACCTTCCAGAGGAGGTCATTCACTGAGGAACATTTAAAATGGAGATAGATACATGTACTAAAATAGAAAAACCTCCAAGGAAAAGTAGTTTCTGGGTCCCCGTGTGCCTGCTGGGCTGGTTTTCTTGCCGCCTGCTGCTTCCGGTCCTAGGAAGTCTGGTTTCTTCTCCACCCAGCCATGCCTGCCAGACCTGTGCAGTCTGCTCTAAGCCCTGCTAGGAACTCCAAAGGCCCTACTCAGCAGTGGCAAGCTATGAAGGTCAGTGCATAGAGGTCAATGCATCTGATCATACAGTCAAGACCAGAAAAACAGGATGAGCTTCTGTTGCAGTTGGACGGAGTTACGCTATATTTTATTGTTGCTTGAATATTTTATTTGATTTGGTTTAGATGAGGGAAGAAACCATGCAGTTTTTTCAGTCTAACAGATGGAGAATACTTCCCGCTGCCTGGTGCTATTCTTACCTGACTATCTTGATGGCTTGGGAGAACCACATATCTGGCCAGAAGCCAGAGGAAAGTACCAGACACATGGCAGGGGCCTGCTGGCTCCACTGGGCTCACGCCATTCTCCTCTGATTGACCTCCTCTCAACCATGATCCATGTTTCCTTTTAGGGACCGTTCCCCCTTAGGTTAGAATCCACTTCAAATATCTAAGAGGTGCCAACTTTTCCAAGAGAGGGTGCTAGTGAAATTAAATTTGGCCTGGAAAATTAGTTCAAGACCCAAATATAGTATTTATCCATTTTCTAACCTTCCTTCCTTTTTTATTACACCTGCTCCGCCCGACTTATTCCAAACTGCTACTCTCACAACAGCCGCAAGAACGTAATCCCTTACAGTAAACCACCCTAAGTGACAGACTTTGGACCCCACGCCCCTAGTGTACTGTCATTGCTCAAGAGTAAATTGGAATACTCTCTCACTGGTGGAAGATGCAAGGCAGATTTTTGTTCAAATGCCTCTTATGGGGCCTGTTGCCTAGAACAGCATGTGGAATCCACCCTGAATGCATGCAGCCACCCACGCCTGCCTCATCAGTAGCTTCAGCAACCCAGAATGCTTGGTCGTCATGGCAGGGACAACATGGGTTATCAAACCTAAAATGGAAAATTTTGGAAAGCAAAGATGGCCCTGTCCCTTAGAAACCTGTGACTGCCATGGAGACAGGGACAACTCACACTTCTCAGAGACTATCCACATTAGCATTTTTCTTTGCAGAGTTTATTTGGGCGTGCATTGCATGAGTTTGATATATTCAAAACATGTATTTTTTCATTCCTTTACTTAAAATTTTGGCTATATGCCAAGCCCTAGATCAGATGCAAAAGTGGAAAAGTTTTGGTCCCTACCCTCCAAGAACCCCCATTTCAATGAGCTGGACAGATCTGAACACAAACAAAACCAATGGGATAATAGTATTAAGAGCTAGGGTCTGTCTGGGGATAAGGAGAGCCAATTCATGATGGTGGTGAGTTCTGCCTCATGGCAGCAAGAATCAGGAAGGCTCTGGAGAGTGGGTGGCCTAGAAACTAAGAACTAAAGAGCAGTGGGTGACTTTTGGGGAAGCAGGGTGAGAAGATGAGGGCAGAATTGCCCCCAGAGAGAGCGCCACCAAAACATTCACAAGTTTTTTCTCTAATGGGCCAAGTAGTAAACATTTTAGACTTTGTGGGCCTGCAGTCTGTGTTGCAACTTCTCAACTGATGTAGTACTGTGAGATCAGCCATAGACAACAGGTGAACCAATGGGCTATGTTCCAATAAAGCTTTATTTACAAAGACCGTCGGTGACTGAGGGAAGGCCATCGTGTGCTGATCTCTGTTCTCTTGCACAGGCAAGGTCTCAAGCAGCACTGCATGTTTGGGGGACCCTAGCGGCTGAGCATAGGTGAGGCAGATCCCAGCACCTAAGACTGCTGTAGCATGGGCCAGGGCATACATAGGAAGGGACCCTGAGCTAGGTGTCTATCAGCCTTAACACTCCTGACCATGAGACTCTTAATTCAGATATCTCATTTCCAAGAATAAAGTAAGTACCCCTTTGCTCTCATGGTTAAAATTGAAGGCAACATTATTTTTCTCTTGTGTGACGTGGCGGATTTGAACTGTATAGTCTACATTCCCATATAGCTGTGACACTGTAGCTCGACTAGAGTTACCATCCTTTTTCTCTTAAATGATGGAAATGGGCACATGAGGGAGAAATGTTCAAACTAGAAAAAGAAGAGTGATTCCAGATACCAAAGAGTATTTTCCAATCCTTTTCCTCCCCACAACCAACACAAAACACTGGCACCCTAAAGTTAACAGATATGCCAGGTAAAATACTTGGTAAGCACTAATAATAGTAGCTAACATTTCTCAAGCACTGACTATGAACCAGCTGCTGGCTGAGCTTATTTCATGTATTAGCTCATGTAATCTCAACCATAACCCTGTGAGGTAGGAGCTGTTATTGGCTTCATTTTACAGGGGAAGAAAATGAGACTCGGAAGGTCCAGAATTGGCTCAAATTCACAAAGCAGAGTTGGGATTCAAACCCAGGTCTGTGAAAAAGCTTTTAGGTCTTTAAAAGCTCTCCTTATTCCCAGACAGACCCATAACCACTATGGGTACTACCTCCCTACCAGGTAAGACACGAGGGACCTCCCTCCCCACCTTTAGACACTGATCAAGAAGACCCTGGCCCGAGTGGACTGTGGGGCCCCACATGCTCCCACGTGCCTCCTGATGTAACAACCAGGACACCATGGCAGCTGGGCTCTGGGGCTGTGTGTCCTTCTAACCCCTGATCCCAGTGGTCCATTGATGTGAAGTATTTTACCTGAAACAGACAGATAAGAGGAATCAGATAGGAGACTCCTAGTGCATTCCGAAATGCACTATCAAAGCACCAAGATGCCAGGGAGGCACTCCACAGTGCTGGTCATCGGCTCCCCCGGAAAGACCCCAGATACCTGCCATGCCTGGCACCCCTGTAGTCTACAGCATCAACCACAGGAGATCAGCTCTGACCCCAGGGCTTCAAACACACCGAAGCTGGTCCCTAATTGGATATACTTCCTCTCCAGAGGAGACCAGGGGCACTTGTCATATTGAGTTCAAGTCCCTGGTCAAACTCATGCACTGGCCACCCTAGCTTGCTGTTCTGTCTTCTGTTCTCAGATTCCAGGCTTTTAGGAACAGAATATCCAGACATTTCCATTTTTGTAATAGTGACTCAGGTCAACAATCAGGAGTTGGTGATTATCATAAATTTTGAATTTTTGTCCCGTAAGATACAATTGATTACGTTCTTTTGCTATGAGCAAATGAACAACATAGTAAGTTTTCTGGAAGTTTAACTTTCTGTAGGTGGACACTTACCATCCCATTCATGTTTTTCTTAACGTTAACCTTATAGAAGATTCTCACACTAACCTTATAGAAGATTGCTCTCATGGAGACATGTTTGGCAAGACCATTTGATTTTATAATCTAAGGCCATAAAATGAATTGGAAGCATAGAATTTACAAAATGTTCTACAGAAGGATCCCAACTGAACACAGATGGTGCTCCCATCCAGCACTGTAAGGGAGGGAAGGGGCCAGGAAGCTCATGTTTTTATTAAGCACCTGCTACCCACGTGCCGGGTTCTGTGAATTCATGATCCCAGGTACTGCTCCCAGCAGCCTTCTCACACCAGCCCTACGAGGTAAGTATATATTCTTTTCCACTTCACAGGTCTGAAAACTAAAGCTCAGCAAATCCAACCGTTCTAAGATCACATAGCTAGTTTATAAAGCCACCAGGAGCCAGTGACAGATCTGACTCCTAAACCAGTGCTCTTTCCACTACAACACAAAGCCCCCGAAGTTAGAACACGGAACTAGCTTCTTATGAAGCCTCTGCAAAGCCAACAGAGCGTCTACCTGTGGGAAACCCCTAGCAGGAGTCTATTGTTTCATAGAGAAGTGAGCCAGGAGTTGGAGGTGAGAATCTCTGCAAAGTTTTGCCTATGGGCACAGGAATCTAGGTTTCACTTTAATAATTAAATGTTGGAAACCTTTCAAAACACTCCTCCTTCCTACTTCAACCTTAGCCACATCAGCAGGAACTTCCCAGCCATTCATCAGCCTTTATCTTATTCATTCTGCTGAGCAGGGATGAACCCCAGCTCTCTCACTTCGGTCCCACCCTTCCCAACTCCCCACGCCCAAGTCTTTCAGTGGAACCCAAGACTGTAAGAACGTAGGCCTTGTGAGAGTGAAGGAAGGATGCTCGAACTTGCCCAGGACTCAGGCTTCAGCTTCACAATCCCGAGGAAAGGAATGACATTTCCAAACTGTCACCTTTGTAGCGCTGGGTCAAAGTCTAAAGAGGACAAATAAATAGAGACTTCTGTGGCCTCGTTGTGCCTATTGAACAGGAGAGCTGCATGTCACAATCAATGAGACCTGCACAGCTTGTGAATCATCACTGAGACTAGTTGTGTTTTTAATACCTTTAAAATGAAGCCACAGCATCTATTCTGGAAATGTGGCGTAGGCTTAAAAACCTTGCTCCAAAGAGGATATCGTTTCAGCCAGCATGCAGTGAATATCTGTGGCTACACAAAAAAACAAACTGTCCCGAATGCTGGAGGAGGAAATATGACATTGTGATGCCAGGCAGTTTTCTGTGACACTCAGGAATCTCTTCAATAGAGATGTACAGTGACACTTAGAGCCCCAGAACACAAGGTCTGTCACTAGTAATTTACATAAGATAAGGATAAATTATTGACTGGGATACATCTTACTCATCCCCGACATCTGCTTGGCTGTGGGGTTGGTCATGTAGATAAATATCCTTCCCAGAAAGGATATTTGGCCTTCAAAAAAGTCTCTGGGCTCAGAGTCTGGTCCCTTGGGGTTACATGGAATGAAACCCAGCACTTTATTGCTTTGACTGCCTACTCTTGTCCCTTCACTGCAAAGCCATCATGCTATTAAATAAGCCTAACAAACAGTAGGTGAAGCAGAAAAGACCGATCTCTTTTTCCTCTTGGCTCTTCTTCCCTCCTCCCCCTTTAGGCACAGAGTACCAAGACATTGAGACTGAGAAAACCTGCCCCGAATCACATTCACCTTCAGAAGACTCCTTTGTGAGAAGCTGAGGGCCTGGCCCTCTTCCTCTTCCTGGAGAGAACAGCCCACCACCACCCACAGACCTCGCGGGCCTCACTTAGCGCGCTCCTCCCTGTCCGAGAACCCGAGGGTCCCCATGTGGATTATCCAGCCAGTGTGTGGTCCTTTGAGGCCCCAAGCGCAGGCCTGTGATGAGGACCAAAGAGGTGACTTATGGTCAGGAGTACTCCAAACAGCTCTCAGAGTAGGCATCTTTCCTGGGTCTCTAAAGAGTCATGCTGACCTGGTGTGCAAATTCCCTTCCACCCATCCCTCTACCTCCTCTGGGGATGGCTTGCCGACATGCTTTAGAAACTCCCCTCTTGGGAATGCTCCTCTGACTGAGGGCTCCAACAGCTTTAATGAAATCAGCCGAGAGGGTAAAAACCAACCTGTTGCATAGAATGGAGGGGGGAAAAAGCACATACTCAATAGATTTTTGAGTGTGGTACTCTGTATTTTTGCAGCGTTTATTTTCCAAATGAGCAGTTTAGAAATATGTGATGTAAAGTACATACTGTACGTTTGCTGAAAATTATATTAAAAGCACTATTTTAATTCTTCCTCTGTCTCATGCTCTAATCTCTGTTATCTTTCTTGTGCCTTCAGGTAGAATGATTCTAAAAGATTCTGGAGAGTGTTTCTGGCTATGTGCGTTCTATATTTATGGGCTTTGAGGTTATGGACTTAAGAGAGTATGAGCTTTAGAGCCAAGAGAGACCTGAACTCAAATCCCTACCCCACTGTTGGTGTGATGTTAATGTAGTGATCTGACTCCTCTTAGCCCCCGTTTTACCATTTGTAAAATGAGAATATTAATGCCTACTTTATGCAACTATGGTACGACTTAAATTAGATCATGTGTAAAGGTACCAAGTGCAACATACAGCACAGAAATTGTCATTGTTCATTACTACCCCAACCTCTGGCTGGAATCTAAATGCTCCATACCATGCAGCTTCTACTGGTAACATTTAGTGGTCCTATCCTCTCACTGTCTGGTTTTCATTTCTGATTCTCCCACTGCCTGTAAAGCCTAGGAGACAGGCAATTGGCTTCATCTCACAAAAGCCCCAGTGCATGTATAGTGTATAGTGCCCAGGTACAGTGCATGTTCTTCCGTGGGTGATCAATATGCAAATGAATGAATGATGAACAAACAGCCTCAGACCCAGTCCCATTCCCTCAGTGGAAACTACAGCATTTGCCTCCCTTTCTGTAGGTCCACAAGCTACCCAGTGGCTAGAGCTCTAGTGGCTTTCCCATACCTTGCTAGGTCTCTTCGTAATTGGCTGGACTCACCTCTGTATCTTTATTAATTCACTGGCTGGACTCCAACCTCATATGAGCAGATAGGTTGGGTTGACACCTGCCACTGACTTGCAGAATGGAATCCCCACTGCATTACTCCACTGGCCAGACTGGAGCTCAGGCATGGATGCTTGCCAGAATTCTATCTGTGCTTTGTCTTTTGGGCAAAGCACTTAGAATCCACTTGTCTTATGGGGCTAGCCCCATAACTGACCACTTTTCTTCATAGTCCTCTCCATCCTGAATCTTGTCCTCTGTAGCCCATCATCCACTGCAGCTGAGTTCACCCCAAATCAAAGCTTGTCAAATCTATTATTACCTGAAGACTGCATCCACCTCAGCCTTGAGTTGTCTTTTCACTCTGAGGTTTTAGGGGGTCAGGAAACAATGTGCTTGACTTTCTTCAAGGTCCAATTATAGGCCATTGGTGCCTTGGAGGATCCTTTTTCAGCCTGGCTGTGTTATGTGATTGTTTATTTTTTGCAAAGCAACATGATTTATTCTCTCCAGTATAAAAATCCCAAGAAAATGCAATTTCAACATTCTCTGTCCTGATGTTAAAAGATGCTGAAGCAGCTGTAAAAGTTGTTAGCGGTTCCTCCTGGGCTTCACCTGCACCAGAAATTGAGATGGAGGCAGAAGGGAAAGGAGTAAGGAAAGGCTAGTGCTTAAGGTATCCGTGTGTTCAGTCCCACATTTTACATCTGTTTTTATCTATAGTCCAGTTTATTTTCCCTGGCTACCATTCCCCCATACAGGTGGTCAACTTAAAGAAAACTTATTCTCTCCATTTTATCTCAGCCTTGCAAAGACATATTCTTATAGTCAAGAGATTCATCTTTCAATACTTAAGTGAATTCATGAGAAATCTGTCCATAAAAGCTGTCCAACTATTAATAACTCAGAGAGAATACACGGCTTCATCAGACCCCAAAATGCCCCCTCTTCCCAATGTCCTCTCAGTTGCCATGGGCCACCAGGGCCTTGAACTACATACACAACTAGCTCATCTTCCACGCTTGAAAGTCCAACTCGACCTCTTTCCCAGTCTTCAGGAAAGGGTTAGCCATGCACTCAAGCATTTGGCTCAACCAAAACAACAGCAGGCTGTTTCTGTGGCCCCATAACATGGATTCAGAATCACTCATACATCCCCTTTACAAAGAGCTTTCTGTCTTCTTTTTAGGCTTTGTTACTTAACGAGCTACTGTTATGGAACAGCTTCCATAACTCTTGAGACAAGTGTCTACACTTAATGCACAAGGCAGACTCACTTGCTTTCCTGGAAGCCTTTAAAAAGTCTCTTAACCTTCTTGAGTTATAGCATTTCCAGTTATAAAATACATGAACATGTATTTATGGGATCCCCAAAGGAGGGCACTTCAGATCTTCCAGAATCCTGCTCCTCTGTTGCTCATAAAATTAAGGGGTGAAGTAAAGAAGACAGAACAGCAAGCTAGGGTGGCCAGTGTATGAGTTTGACCAGGGACTTCAACTCAATATGACAGGTGCCCCTGGTCTCCTTCAGAGATGAAGTATTATCCTGTGAGGCCTCTCTACATCACACATCACTGAGGTCTTGACCACAGGACACAGATGCAACTGAAACATGCTGCCAATGAGAAAGAAGTGGAAGACCTCTGTCCCCAGACTCTACACCCCTCAGCTTGGCAGCTGGCTCCTTTCTTCATTCAGAAGCTTACCTTGCCCTCTATCTTATGCTTCCATTTCTGTGGACAATCATTCTGTATTGAGGCAACTATATTTTCATAGTAAAAATTAGTGCTTGATATAAGTTTAAAAAAAAAAACAGCCCAAAGAAAATGACAATTCTTTTCCATTGTTTCTAAAATCATCATTTTCTAGCCCTTCAAGTTTTGTGCAAATGACTAGACATGACAATGCAATACTACAAAAGGAGATGTTCCTTTTCAGCAGGATGTTGGAAATAAGATTTTATTTCCAGTTCATCTGTGCCTGAGAATGTGACTCTTGAAGGGTCACATTACTGCCAATTATTTTCTCAGGTGGTGTCAGTGGATTGGTCCTGACAAAGTCACTGAGGCAGCTACTGGGGAGGAGAATGCAGAGTGAAGACCCGTGCTGGGTGAGGAGGGAGCTGAATGCACATGAGGAGGCCTCACTGCGACCTGGTCTTACCCTCCACTTCCTGCATCCCATGCTCCCTGGGAAGATAGACCCTGAGGAAGATGGTTAGTTTCATTCCATATTTCAAATGGATAGATGTCAGATTAAAGCAAGGCCGTGACTTTTAGCAAGTGAGTATGGACAGGACTCCATGAAGTCCTCTGCACACAGTGGCCACTTCATAACTGGGGGCCATAGGAGAGCAAGATGACTTAGGGGAGGGGTCCTCAACACTCCCGGCCACAGACTGGTACCCGTTGGTGGCCTTTTAAGAACCAGGCCACACAGGAGGAGATGAGTGGCAGGCAAGCGAGCATTACCGCCTCAGCGCTGTCTCCTGTGAGATCAGCGGTGGCAGCATTAGAGTCTCATAGGAGCATGGACCCTGTTGTGAACCGTATATGCGAGGGATCTAGGTTGCATTCCTTTTGAGACTCTAATGCCTGAGAATAGTTTTATCATGAAACCATCTCTACACCTCCCACCCCCACTCTCTCCATCCATGGAAAAATTGTCTTCCATGAAACCAGAAAGGTTAGGGACCGCTGGCATAGGGGAAAGAGCAGGTAACAGGTTTACATCCCGGCGGTTCAGCCACTTTTCAGCCTCGCCAGGTTAGCAAGTCAAGATTCGCTCTAAACCAGTCTTTATGTAGCTATAAAATGGGAAGGTTACAGCTGCCTGCTTGGCAGAGACATCATGAGAATTCAATGTACATGTACAGCCCAGTGTCAGTCCCCGGCAAGTCTCAGGAAGTCATGAGTTTCATTGAGAAGTCTCATTTTTGGCCATATAAATACAAAACCACTTCTATTTGCCAATATTTGTTACCACTCTGCTCTTCGGTAATCCTCTGTCCTGCTGAGTAGTGACTCTCTTGATGAGTTCTCAGTCCATTCCTTAATTTTTTAGTCATTTCTACTTATTAAAAGAGCTTTGCTTCACTCATTAAGATCCAGTCCTGACCATTTGAGAACTTCATCCTCATATACCTTTTAACCCCCACAATGGCAGGCCTGGCCTGTGGCTTGGGGGGCCTATAGTGGAGGAGGAAGTGTGGTCTACCCTCTCCTACCCCTTTTCTCTTCCCTGCCCCAACTGGGCTCCAGATGGAGGTGTGGGAGCTGAAGAGGGAAGTGAGGTACATTCAGCAGACTGCCTGTGGCTAAGCTTGCTGCCATCACTGACAACCACTACTGATGCAGCTCCGTCTCTCAAGTACGTTTGGAGGCAGGCAGGCAGGCTCCAGTAAGCCTAGCTGAAGGAGAAAACCATCCAACAGCTCCCTTCAGCTCTGGGGCTCCCTTTTGAGAGGCAGCTCCAACTCCCAGCAAACTCTCAGTTGCCCGCTGTGAGCTCCACCCCCCTTCAGTAAGCACCCTTTTCCCCTGCATGGATTAGTCTCAGGGAAGCCCATAGCCTAACCTCATCTTTTCCTTTTAGCTTGAACTCTAGGATGGAAGTATTAGCAGGGCTCTTATTCCCCACTATGAGTAACAGATAGCTTCCAAGGGCTGTCCCTGCCTCCCTCCTCCATGGTCCCATCTTTCCAGTGTACTCCCCACACCTCTTCTCAGTCTGCTCTGGTAGCAACAAGACATGTTGGCAAGTCCACATGCTGGGAGGACACACAACCAGTGTGCATACCCCCAAACTCTATGAGCAACTGCTTTGAGAACACCCTTCCCAAACAGTGCCTTGCTTCAGAAACATTACTCTTCTCACCCAAAAAGGTGACCTCTCATGCTCTTCTCCAGCCCTTTGTGTGTTTTGGGAATGGGTGCATATAGGGTGGGTGCAAGGAGTTGGTAGTGTGAGTTTTTCCAAAAGGAGAAAACTCAAAAGATCCTCACCCCACACACCACACCACCACACTATACAAATATGGAAAGAGGAAGGCCAGCCAACAGGTGACAATAATGAGAGATGATACTACCTCCCAAATTTTCATAATGAAAACCCACCCTACACCTGAGCCTTCAACCTGAGTCTTCTAACCTCCAGGTAGGTATGTCTTTGTAGATTTCACACTTAATCAAAGAGTACTGGTTCAAAGCCTGGTATGGAGCCCTGTATCCTCTAAGGACGTGTAGAGAGATCCAAGGAGAACCTGTACTCAAACTTTCAATGTAGATTGAGGCAAGACAAGAACCCACATAATACAAAGACCGCTATCAGAGCCCTGTCTATTCAAGGGCTCCTACTGAGCAGTAAGTACATGACAGTGATGGGCATTTGGAGCGGAGAGAAGCCCTATGACCTGAAATAGCCAGAGGAAGCTTTCTGAAGAACTTGGAGCGTGCAAAGACCTCAAAGGAAATATTTGTCATTTAGGCTTCAGGTACAATGCTTTGCCCTGCTCATAACAATAGGTTTCTGAAAGGAGGCAGGGCAGTGGTTAGAGAAGAAAAATGTCTATGAATAGACACTAGGATAACAACAACGTACCAGGTGCCGGGCGAAATTCTTTACAAAACTGTCTCCTCGTCTAATCCTTGCAAGCCCCCTGTGAAATAGGAATCATTTCATACCAGCCCCTTAGCTGGGGTTTGAGTCTCAGTTCCTCTACTTGCCGTCTGTATGACCTCAGTTTCCTCATCAATAATATGAGGATAATCATACTCACTCCATAAGAAGATTGTGAGGATTCAGCAAGATGATGATTCTAAATCACTTAGTACTGTACCTGGCCCCTAGAAAATATCCAAGAAATATAAGGGCTCCTCTTCTACTTCAGCACATAGAAAACACATTCTCTCACATTTCCAGGTCATCTAACAGAGTGTTAAATTTTTAACAGAGCTAACTTGGATGGGTAAATAATTGTAACAGCAATTATCTCCCTGAGGGCAATTATTTGCCATCACCATTTGCACCCACCGAAATTATATCCACAAGAAACAGAGTCACCCATTAGCAGATAAACGTAATTAAATTGGAAGAATGACATCCAATGGCTGACTGGATTAATAAAAGAAATTTATTCCCTAGAGGTATTTCAGAAATGCTTCTCCAAGCTGGATCTTATTTTTTAAAAGCTTGTACTCTGAATTCAAATTATGTATTAATTCTTTTCCAAAAATCAGCACACCTCTAGCCCTTATAAATACCATGTATTTCTGAGAAGCTTTGACTACAGTGGTTTTATAAACCACACACACAGACACAAATCCTCTTGATCTTTGTATAAAACTACATATATAAAAGACATCATACTTTGTGGTAACGTCGATTCGGCAAATATTTTGACTGGATTGTATGTTTTCTGGTTTCAGAATTTTATTTCAAACAGTAGGCAAAGACCACGGTATATGTTGTCACCTCACACATTTAAACAATTTTTTGCCCTTAAACCCTCCAAGAATAATCATATGCAGATCTGGCTCAAAATACCTTGAAAAAGTGAGTTTATAAACTATTATAATTTCTCATGAATTCCACAACAAACTATTAATAATAAGCAGACTCCAAATTTATGGATCCTGATAAGGGATTTTTCCTTTTCCTTTTGGGACATCCGACACTCTCATTGTTCTTAGGAACACGGGTCTAAGTCTTCATTCCTAAATCTGTCTACTGTTGTCACTTCGAAAGCCTCAAGATAATTGGTATCCGCTAGTTACATGAATTTTTATGCAGCTCTCCGTCTGAGATTTGGTGGCAGTCTACATTGGCATACTTCTTAGGTTCTTGAAATACTTCTGTGAGGTAGAGATAAGAAAGCCATAAAACTTTATTTTACTACCGGAAAAAATCCCAAAGAGGAAAGGTGTCTTTCCCTGTAGCTCTTACTTTGCTCCTGTCACAAAAGAAAGTAAAACCATCTGTCCCAAGATGGCTGCCAGAGAACTACACAAGCTGTTACTGGCCTGGAAGAGCATTTCAATCACTTCTACATTTTCATTCAGAAAAAATGAATTTTCATACAAAGTGATTGCAGAAGTAAAAATGGGTGCATTCAATATCCACTCTGCACTTGACATGCTCTCAGAGTCTAGACCATGGCTAGCTTTGAGAATTTCAAGTTGCATTGAAATGTGCCCTTACAGCAAATCACATTCATTAATAATCTAACCCAATTAGACTACAACTGAAATACAGCCAAATTGCTACCCTCTTCAACTCTTTGGAAGACCATTGAATGATCTTTCTAAATATTTAACCAAAATTAAAATGTTTGGTATTAGAAAGTTTCTTGTGTTGTCTTTTTTTTTTTTTAAATATAAGGTCATCTTTTCTAAGACTAGTATAAATGGATCTTAGTTGTTACATAGTTGGTAGCTGTGTGTATAAATTAGCAAATGTGGTGTAGCAATGTTCTCTACTTCCCTGCCTGTATAGGCTCAGATCTGTGGACATGGCCTTATTTGCACAATTCTGCACATCCTTCTGTGGCATACTGGGTGTAGACAAAGTTCTGTTCCTTGAGTACTGATGAATATAAATTTCCTACCTGCTTTTTGCTTTTCAAAAAAAAAAAAAAACGTGGCTACAGAAAAGACCATACCTAGCCCTGTTCATTTACAAAGATTTCATACTTGGTTACAATCTCAACAGTGATAATGGTTTCATTCATGATAGCACACATAAAAAAGCATGGTAATAAACCTATCAGAAATATGCACTATTTACTTTTTTAAATAGTAAAACTATCCTAAAAAACAAAAGTAATAACTTGAAAAGTAAAGACAATTACCATATTCCTAGATCGGATAGTTAAAACCTGGAAAAATGTGATTTCTCCCAAATGAATCTATAATTTCCATGCAATCCCCAAGAAAATCTCAATAAGAGTTTCTATGGAAATTCATGAACTGAATGCAAAATTCAAATATAAGAGCTCAAGCATAGCCATGGTAATTCTGAAAATAAAAATAAAAATGAATGAGGATTGCCCTTCTCAAAAATCAATATATTAATAAAGCAATAGTGCAGTTGACCCCTGAACAACATGGCTTTGAACCGTAAGGGTCCACTTAAATGCGTTTTTTTCCAACCAAATTCCACATCAAAAATATAGTATTCTTGGGATGCTGTATTAGCCTGTTCCCATGCTGCTAATAAAGACATGCCCTAGACTGGGTAATTTATAAAATAAAGCGCTTTAATAGACTCATAGTTCCACATGGTTGGGGAGGCCTCACAATCATGGCAGAAGGTGAATGAGAAGCAAAGTCACATCTTACATGGTGGCAGGCCAGAGAGCTTGTGTAGGGGAACTCCCATTTATAGAGACTTATTCACTACCACAAGAACAGTATGGAGAAAATCGCCCCCATGATTCAGTTATCTCCACCTGTCCCCACCCTTGACACTTGGGAGTTATTACAATTCAAGGTGAGATTTGGGTGGGAACAAAACCAAGTCACATCAGATGTGAAACCCACCCTATGGAGGGCCGACATATCCTGTAGGTTCTGTAGGGCTGACTGTAGGACTTGAGTATGTGTGGGGGTCCTGGGCCCAATCCCCCATGTAAACCAACGAACAACTATACTTAAAACTAGATCCAAGCACAGTGGCTCATGCCTGTAATCCCAGCAATTTGGGGTCTGAGATGGGAGGATCAGCTTGAAGACAGGAATTCAACTCTAGCCTGGGCAACACACTGAGACCCCGTCTCTACAAAAAAAAAAAAAAAAAAAAATTAGCTAGGCATAGTGGTGCACACCTATAAGGCCAGCTACTCAGGAGGCTGAGGTGGGGGAATTGCTCAAGCCCAGGAGTTTAAGGCTGCAGTGAGCTATGGTCGCACCACTGCACTATAGTCTGTGTGTCAAAGCAAGACCAGCATTCATACAGGACCAGAAGATAGGTCAAAGACTCAGAATAGCAACAAACACATTTATATATGTGTGTGACTTAGAATATATTAATTAAAGGGGAATATTTTAGATTGCTGGGAAAACTGACTATTCGATTAATGGTTTGGAGAGACAACTTAGAAACAAATTTGATTCATTCCCAGTCACCAGTGAAAAATATAAATCTTACGTGATTTACATAGCTAAAAGTGTTTAGAAGCTATAAAGATTCAGGAAAAACAAGAGAATATATTCATGGTTTTGTGGTTTTCTAAAAAGACCTAAAATAAAAAAAAAAATCCATAAATAAAAAGACATAGTTTTGTTTACTTCAAAGTTAAAATATCTATATAATCTACAACAGCATGTATAAAATCAAGAGAATATTTGATTTATAAATTACAAAAAAAAACTGTCAATATATAAAGAATCTCTACATATCAACAAGAAAAAGTGGAACTAGAGCTACTATATCACGTATTTCAGGCTGCCACTCCCATTGTCCTCTCTGTAAATCCTACCGAAAACCACACAAATAATACCAATGGGCACAGCACAAGAGAGGGGCCACAAATGTCCTTTAAGTATTCAAACTCACTAATAATGAAGGAAATACAAATTTTAAAGAGATAATTTTTTACCTAAAACTTTCGGTTAAAATTTTAGATTAATAATATCTCCAGTCAGGGTACAAGGCAAATGCTGGAGTCTTACATGGCGGCAGGCCAGAGAGCTTGTGCACGGGAGCTTCCCTTTATAAAACCATCAGATATCCTGAGACTTATTCACTACCACAAGAACAGTAAAGGGAAAACTGCCCCCATGATTCAGTTATCTCCACCTGGCCCCACCCTTGACATGTGGGAATTATTACAATTCAAGGTAAGAACTGTATGCTGTTGCAGTCATTCCAGAAGACAATCTGGCAATGTCTACTAAACCTGTAAAGGCCTATGCAGTGGGATCCAGAAATCACCTCTCTCAACATCCACCCTAAATAAAGGGATGAGTGGGGATCAGGGAAGGAGGGTTACATGGAATGACAGGATTTAGGTCTTAAGGGATCCTTGGTGATCAAGGGTTGAGTTTCTGGCCACCCTGTCATCTTTCCCACATCATGACCTGCATAGAGCACGGCTGGGCACACAGCTTCATTTCCTTCTACCTCACATTCCTGTTATCACCCCACTGCCTCCTTTAAACCCAATCCATCCTTCAATATCCAGAACAAATATTGTAGAGAACTGTAGTACTCTCTGGGATTAGCTCATTCAGCTTGACTTTTTGCCAAAGGCTTAATACTTTGTTCACATGATAGTTTCCATGGGATGTCCTACCCACCCCAGTTATTCCAGGATGAGCATATCTAAGCATTTTTCAAATATTCCACCTGGGGTCCACAGGCACAAGCCCAGCTTGGAAGTCTTAATGCACCAACAAACTCAGTGATGAGACAGCGGTAGTCCACCGGCTCCACATTGCCACCCCACCACCACCCATTCACCGGGAGTGATAGTTTCTCACTTGATCCCACAGTTCTGTGCTCTCACTGCGCCTTGTACTCGGTGTTACTCATGTTTTGGTCCATATGTTACATTTCCTCTATTGAGTTCTATTCCTTACAGACGATATCTATGTCTTGTTTCATTCTCTAACCCTCACAGTGCATAACACCTTATTTTTAAGGTGTTAACATAAGGTTAAATATACACATAAAGGTACACTAAATACTCTTAATTTCATTTCTGTCCTACAGACTAGAAAGATGGATAACATAGCCAGGGGGAAGGTCTGACACCTAAGGCTATTTCTAACCACATGCATCTTCTGTCATTGACCAAATCTCTCCTAAGATTGTATGAGGAAAGCCAGAACTGAAAGTTACCTTGTTATTCCCCATCTCCCTTTAGCTTAATTCAAATCAGCCGCTCAGACTGATAACCCTTTATGCCTAGATAAGACTTTAGAGTTCCCAAGATTTTTCTACAACCAGTTGTGTTTTTCTTGATTTTCTAACAACCCAGAGAAATCATCTGGGGCGCCAGGGGCTAAGTGACTTACCCAGTGGCCACTTGGCTAGTAAGTGGGAAAGCTGGAATTAAAATCTCAGTGCATTTTCCTCCAATATTTGAGTGTTTCCCCTCCCCATACTACTTCTGTCTTTGCAAATAAATCAGGAGTCAATTCCTCATCGGAGGTGTAGATAGATATGAAATGGGACCAGAATCCAGTGCCTGTTAGGGTCTACTAAGATTGCATTTTCAAGCAGGTTGAATTGCATGGGTCCAGGGAGTCAAGTAAGATTTTGTAGTCTCTGGAGCCATTTCTCCAGGGCCGTCTTTCCAGGAGACAACTGTGATTTGGCCATCGGGCTAAAGTAGAGCCCTTGTATCAGGGAAGAGTGTGTCAGGCAGGAGCCTTTGGGGTTATCAGTCTTCTCTGAGCTCTGGAATGGGGAATGCATGCTTCTCAGCAGATTGGAACTTTCAACATAGGCATCTTCAGGCTGACAGACCAACCTCATTTCCTCCGACAACAAACCAAGGCTCCAGGTAGTTCAGAGATACCCTGAACTTCAGACTTGGACCCATTTATGACTGCAGCATGGGTCCTTTTGCCTCTTGATCTAGTTCCTGACTAACCCTTCCTGAGGTCCATGTTCTCCCAAGACACTCTGAATACAGCTTGATTTATGTATTTCCTCTGAACCTCTCCAGTACAAATTCAGCAGAATGGGCCACTCTTCTTCCAGAAGAGCCATGCCAACAGTCTTTTGTCCTGGGACTCCACTGAGGCCGATTTATAAGGATTAAGGTCATGTCACCTCTGAATATTCAGAACCTGGGAAGCTGTGCTCCCCTCTCCTCCAAAGATCCCTTTGGATATTGGCTAACATCTTAAATTAGGCAGGCCTGGGCTAGTGTGCCCTAACCCTACAATGTTTTCAAGTCTTCTGGGAAGAGGTTTGGGCTCTCTTCCCCAAAAGATCCTCAAGACAGACCCCCCGAGATTGCTCCTGCACTTCCTGCCCCCACTTAGCCACAGGAAACCATAGAGCCTCCTGAAAGGCCTGAGCACCCACCAAAGTACAACAGGTGCAGACTGAGGTATGAGGCAGTTTTCACAAAATAAGCAGGACAATTTCTCATTATGCCAGATGGCAAGATCAAGTGACCTGCGGTGCAGGGAGCCACTGCTATTTTTCCTCCTACTGCCATGCCCTGAAAATGCAGATTATCCCAGAGGGCAGCTGAGAAGTAAAAATAGCAGCTGTTATTTATTGAGGCCCAATTATGTGTCAGCTACTGTCCTAAGTGTTTTAATTTATCTTCACAAACTTATGTGGCAGGTACAATTATGTCGGTTTTCCGAAAAGGAAAGAGATACTCAAAGTCCCTCCTAAGAATGGGTAGAACTGGAGTCCAAGCCCCAACCTCTGTGACTTTGCTCCCAATAGAGGGCACTGGCCTTGCATTTTCTAATCTTGGAAGAATTATATTAATAGTTGATGGTAGTGATGGGAATGGTAGGTTTTAGGGATAAAGCTCTTTTGGTTCTTCCTGGAAAACCTTCTATTGCAATATGGTGGGAACAACCAGACCCTGGAAGGGTCCATTCACGTCATTCACACAAGCCATCAATGCTGCTCACCCTGTGGTCTCTGTTGGGTCTAGGATGACTTGTTAGTCCCAGGATGCTCATATCACGAAATGATTCAGGTTTCACAGAGACTGTGGCACCTGAGGCAGCTACGGGAGGAGCAAGCATGGCCCCTGGTTGGCTGCCAACCCTCAGGCCTCATGACACTGGCTTGCTTACATCAATATCAGAGAGAAACGGTGGTGGTGGTGAGAGCAGTGTGGACACTAGAAAGAGTCAGCAACATACCACTAACAGGATGTGGCCATATCCAGGGAAAAGCCAGCTCAGAAACTGGGGGCAGACTTCTCTGGACACAGCCTGCTGCGGCACGTGCATGTTTATGTGTACGTGATGGGAAAGGGGGAAGTGGTCAGTGGTCACTGTCTCAGCAGGAGTAGCAGCAAAGGCCACAGCGCTGACCAACAGAACTTCCAGTGATGGTGAAGATGCCCTAAGTGCTGCGTTCAGTCTGATAGCCACTAGCACATGTGGTTTTTGAGCACTCAAAATGTGGCTAGTGCAACTGAAGAAGGGGATTTTTATTTCAATATTAATTTATTTAAATGTAAATGGTCACTTAAGTCTAGTGGTTATTATACTAGGTAATGCAGGCCTAGAACATTGCACTACATACCACTTGAAGAGGCTGGGAAATGTGACCCTCTCCTCCTGCAGGTTTCCTGTCAAAGGGTTGGAAAGGGTCCCTGAGGAAGTATTAGTTTGGATTCCCTAAGATATTGCAGCCATGACTCCTTTTTCTTTGTCCAGGAAAAAGAAATATCTGCTGCAAGATTTAGAGACCAGAGTGAGGTCATTACTGTATCCTGTATGTCCCCATCACTGGGGGTCTCCAGAGCTGGCTCTCTCTTGGCCACTTTCAAGCTCTCTTCTGGGGCTCAGAGGAATTTCAGCTGCTGTCTACCATTGCTGGGCGCTCTAGGAAATTTAGACTATTTCAGGATCTCTCTGCTAAAAAATAAAAAATATGCCATGCAGCCATTTTATGTCTATTCCTCCCATGCTAGGTGGGGTCTACAGACTTTACCAAACTCCCCAGGCTCCAATTGAGAAGACACAGGTAACAGCTACTCGTGGATTATTCCCTGTCCTACCTGGGTGTTCCATCATTAAGTTATCCTACCCTGGGAGTATGGGCACAGCTCAGGGCACCTTTTCTGAGGACCCACACTGGAGTTTACCTCCAATATCCCATCCTCTGATTCTCTTTCCTTCCCTCTCTCATCTCAGGGGATTTTCTTCTAATGGTGTTTGAGGAGGGAAAACTTCTCTGATCAAATTCTGATCAGTCATCATCCTTCAAGGCCTTGGATTTTAGTATTCAAATGCCCAAGCTTTTAAACTCTTCTCTTTACTTTTCTGGTTTACCAACCCTTTACTGAGTCAGTGGATGCCTCACAGGCTAGTGTCAATGTGAAGACTAAAAGGTAAGTAAGAAAACCACTAGAAATGAGAATGTATTGGTTAATACTGCAGAATATTTTCATGCCACCAGAGCATGAAGATTAGAACCTGAAGCTCGAAAGGAATCTGGAGCAAGATTGAGAGAGCTTCCCATACCAACCTCCAGATATTTTACAGCTGAGAAGGTATCCACTCACCCTCAAGAAAAGAAAAAATAGCACTGAAGGTCCCTTTCCCATGTCAAAAGCCTGGCCTCACATTTGACCTGATTTGCAGGCTAGAGCCTGGCCTTCTTATTTTCTATAAGCACCTAACCAGGGTTGCAGTCCCCTGGTCCTCACTGCAATCAAAAGTCAGTGTTGGAGTGGCAGAGTTCAATGCCAACCGAACATCTTCAGTTCCTTCCTCCTAGTTTTCCTTTTCACAGTTGTCTCTCCCAGGATCAAAAAGAGCCATGCCAAGTATGAGATTCAAGGGATTAGACCAACAGTGAAACCCTTCTCCTTTCCCATGCCAGGGCAAACCCCCTCTTGCTTCCAAGGACCATTTCCATTTCCTTAGGCAGCCATGCCTTATATGAGTTGAAAGGCACCTCTATGGATGAAGACTCTAAGTGAACCCAAGATGGAATGTCGTATTCTATTCCCTCTCCCAGAGAGAGAACAATGAACATTCCCTGCATGTACAGAAGGTCAGTTAGACTAAACCAGAAGAAATGATAGATCCAGATGGGCCTAGAAGTCAAAAGGCAAGCAGTGCAACATTGAGGAAATATACATTTTCCATCCCTTCTTGGGTGTGTAGCTTTTTCTAGAGGGAAAATCCATAATGAAACCAGGACATCAAGAAGATAATTTAGCAGTCATTTTTTGATAGCCAACAAGGTTCTGTCCTCAGTGGATGTGCATCAAACAGGAAGGCTGAGATTAAAAACACAGTCAACTAGGACACAATGCAGAATGGTGGCAGGTCCTTTAAAACATGCAGATAGGATGGAATCGTTATTAATATACTTTTCACACTGAGGATTCCATGAAAGCCCAAATAGAGTCTGAAACAACTTAAATGTGTTTGATCCCTCTCCATGGCATTGTCATTTACCACTTAATTTCTGTGGCTAAAATTTGCCCTGGGCCAGGCGTGGTGGCTCATGCCTGTAATCCCAGCACTTTGGGAGGCTGAGGTAGGCAGACCACGAGGTCAGGAGATCAAGACCATCCTGGCCAACATGGTGAAACCCTGTCTCTACTAAAAATACAAAAATTAGCTGGGCATGGTGGCACACACCTGTAATCTCAGCTACTTGGGAAGCTGAGGCAGGAGAATCACTTGAACCCAGGAGGCAAAGGCTTCAGTGAGCCAAGATTGTGTCACTGCACTCCAGCCTGGATGACAGAGCGAGACTGTCTCGAAAAAAAAACATTGCTGTGTACAAAATCTGTAAACTCTTCATAGGGTGACTGCTCCTTTCTTGACTTTGTAGTGGAAAGGTATAAGGAATGTCATTCTGATTCCAGGATGGTGCCACATTCTCAAAGTGATGGAGGGGAAGGAGACAGGGCAGCCAGTGCCCAGAGGAGCCATGCTTGACTCAGCACAATGCAGACCAATGGAAATTGCTGATATCTTCATTGGGGATCACATTCATTCATGCGATGGAGCACCTTCTCCATGGCAGACTCTGCAGCTCTTCCTATATCTTTTCTCACTTATTTTTCTCATCTTGTGGTATATTACTACATCCATGCAACAGAGTAATGCTTTGGAAATACTAATGAATTTTTCTCTTTGTATTTACTTTCTTCTCTTGGCTCCATTCTCCTTTCACTCAGGCAGGCTATTTTGTGTTGGTTGCCTTGGGGAGAGAGGGTATGAAATCAGCCGTTACAGAAGTCAAGGCTCTTTGGCAACTGGAATCACTCAAGGTTGAGAGTTGGGCTCAGTAATAGGTCATGCCTCTAACTCAAAGCCATCTGCCAACTCGAAAAGTGACTCCCAGTCAGAGAAGGAGGAATTAGAAAACAATCTGAGATAGCGTAGATGGTAAGGGTGGAGACGCTTTGGAAGTGGCCCAATGCCCTGCTGCCTAGGCTGAGCCTGAGCAGGTGGAAAAAAATATCAGATTTATTTCTGAGATGTGAGGGCAAGATGACCTTGGTTTTACCTGCCAGGTAGAATGGCAGGGAGGCAGTTCATATCCAGAGAACTGGTTACAAGCTACATCATGCAGTGGTGTGCTGGAGACAGCAAGCTGGAGATGACTGGGACATTTCTAGGATTCTGTGAGCTGACTGTCAAATCATTGGCAGCCTGACGGCCATGGTAGAAGTGTCTACACCCTGGAAATTTCCAAATGCTTCAAATCAGGACTTCCCTGTCTCCACCTTTCTGAATGTAACTCCCTCAGAGCCTGTGGTTAAGTATTTACTAGCACACAACTGGAGGTGTTAGAAGTCTTAGACAGGTCACAGCATGACACTTGTGCTCTCAAAAAGGGCTGAGTAGGAGAATAGAGAGTCCCACATGTAGGGATCCTCCAGACATGAGACTTCCTCTGACAACTGCCTCAATAGACAATGGAGACCCACATAGGGGAGGACAGCTCAGCAAATGCTCAGATGACATCGTGGACCAGTAGGGCCCTGGAAATGATCATGTTGTTAGATAAGGTTCCTGGAACATAAATGTAAATCTGGGGAAAAGGCAAAAAAAAAAGCCCAAAGTATTTGAGCATACAATTTTGCCATCCTTCAGAACGGGGACTCAAAATACAAATTACATTCTTACCAAAAGATAGTTACATATCTTGCACGCCTGAGTTTGTGAAGCGAAATTTGTATCTGCTACATGTATTTCACCAACAAGAAACACAAGTATTGGAGGGTTGGCCTTGCCCCAGGGTCTTACCATGTGTCTAGCTCCCTCATCTGTGCTGTTTTCATCACACAGGGAAAACCAAAGGCTGGGAGAGCAGCACTGGGAGTGAGCACAGTACCACCTGGAACTGATTTTTGGAACAGGGTCTTAATCAGGTGCAGCCACAGAGAAGTAAAGTCTCTTCCCAAGTCCCAACCCAAATGAAGTAGCAGCTTTCAAATGCCTTACCCGGCAAGGGAATAAATAAATGTTAAACAGAGGGTGAAAAGAATTCCTTTGAGCTAGTCAAGTTTTGCTAAATAATTCAGGAGCTGAGTTTGATGAGGAGTAGGAGGGAAAGCGAGATTACTAATGCAACGGATGGCTTGTGTGGGAGGAAGGACATGGTCTATGGGATCCAAGCAGTGGGCAACAGGGTGATCTGCTGAGGTCTAAGCATGGCTGGGGTCAGCTCTCAATGAGCCTTGGAAGATGGTACGTAAACAGCATTACAATGAAAAGGAGGCAGGGTCCTCACTGATGGACATCACCAGTAGACCCTGAACCAATCAGTCAATTACTAAGGGCAGGGTATTCACTGACTCTCCTGCCTGGTATTCCTCCTGCAATGAGAATAGCAATGCCCCAACCAATATCAAGACAAAGGAGTCAAACAGAGCTCAGGCACCAGCCTGTAAGACCTTCTGAAAGTAAGCGAATGGAAATGCCTTATGAGGGAAGCCTCTTCTTAGCAACTGTCTCTCCACGGCACAGGGAGGGCACCCCAGGCCAAGGCTCAGGAGGACTCTCACATACCCCTAACTCGATGTGAGAGCCATATCCTACCCTTTTCTTCCAGCTTCTTAGGCACGGCTGAGCCTCTGAATGTTCGGTTTCCCTGAACTTTGGAGGGAGACTTCAGCATGCAGTTCCTCTAACTCAAGTGCCCTAGCTATGCTGGCCATTAAAGTTAGTTTTAGAAACCAAGATGGCATCTCTCTCCTTAGTGCCCAACTGGCATCAGGTGAGGAAGATACAGAGAGCGTGGGGCTACTCCAGACTAGGGAACCCAAGTAGTGACTAGTGACCCAGGCCCCTGACCCTCATTCCCCAGTCACCACGCAGGGACTGAAGTGCTCTGGGCACCCTGGGCTGCCTCTAAGCTGCAGGAGTAGAGGCAGAAGCTGCTCTTTCAACACCACTGACATCTTCCCCTTTTACTTTCTAACTGTATGGCTACAATTTTGGCCACAGGGACTGTTTCTGCATCTTTCCCAAGCCAAGATGGAGAGAAAGGGACCTGGCAGTGTCACCTGTAACAAGGCACATAACTTTTGTGTTGGGACACAGAATTTATTCTCTCATTTTTCTTAAACATGTCTTACCACAATATCTTGCAGAAAATGTGCTCATTTAGTTTTTTTTTCCCCCAATTTAGCACAACTTGAAGGAAGCAATACAAACAAGGAGGAGGTTGTGCCTGACACATGGTGCACTCTGGTATTTTGAAACTTAAGTATCTTCCTAAGAGCTCTGTGAAACAGCTATTAGTACAGTAGCCCCCCATTATCCACCAGGGATACTTTCCAAGACCCCCCAGTGGATGCCAGAAACTGCAGATAGTACCAAATCTGACACATGCTACGGTTATTCTTATTATTTTTTAATCAAATAACCAAGCCAAGTACTAAGTAACTCACAGACAGGTAGCACATATGGTATGGATACACTGAACAAAAAGATGATGCTTTGTCCCTGATGGGATAAAGCAGGGTGGCACAAGATTGCATCATGTTACTCAAAACTGTACATGATTTAAAACTTATGAATTGTGTATATCTGGAATTTTCCAGTTAATATCTTCAGACTGCAGTTTACTGTGGGTAACTGAAGCTGCAGAAAGCAAAACCTCAGCGGGAGACTCCTGTACATTCATCTTATAGATGAAGACACTGAGGTTCAGGGAGGCAAATAAACTAGCCCAAAGCCACGCAGCTAATACTTGATGAATCTGGGACTTGATCTCAGGTCTGACTCCAAAGCCCAAGCTTTTTTCAATTGGCAGGTTAAAAAGCCGGGTGTTTGTGAGGTTCAAATAAGGTAATACCCACTACTTACCTCAGAGCTTGGCACATAATAAATGCTTAATAGAAAGTTTACCTGTCTATTCTTCTTTTCACATAGGAAAAGATTTTTAAAAATAGATGAATTAGCCTGGCAGTTGAAATGACCATAAGCACTTAAAATGGAGATTTAGGCATCATCCAATCATTGGGATACTGTCTGGAGTTTGAACACATGGATCCTCACACAAGGATTCTTGACCTTGTTGTGCGACCAGAGGCAGTTTAAGCAACCTCTCTGGGCTTCCAGATTGTAGGGTGTAGCTTCCCGAACTTCTTTGAGCTGGTCATTCACAGCCCAGGGACTTTGGCTCCCTGGAGAATCAGAGGACTAATTCAAGGAACCTGGGAATCATGCGGATGCCAAGCATTGTCTCTAAAGAGGGAACACGTAACATCTCACCTACGCACACCATTATTTTCTAATTGTGTGTAGAATTCATGATTAAGAAATTACAAATTTCCTTAAAGGCACTGTTGACCTCAGAAGACATTTATATCATTAAGAATTTATTAGCTACAAAATCTAGGTCAGGTTATTTATACTTTCTGAACTTAGGATATTCTTATCTGTAATGTGGAAATATTAGTAGTTCTCATTGCAGTGTTTTTTAAGGATTTATTATATATTGAAAGAGTTAAACACAATACCTGGTATAGTAAGTACCCAATTAATGATAACCTTAAAATATCAATTATTATTACTATTGAAATGCTTTCATATTAAAAAGAGCTCCTCATCCTCATTCTGCTAAATATTGGGGGCAAAACAAAAGCCAACTATAGGAAAGAGGAAGTTCCAGGTGTGGAAATGCCTCTCCCTATGGTTTTGGCCTGCAGCTGTTTTGCAGTCAGAAGATCTCTAGAGCCTAGGAAAATGCCTATAATTCTACCTGGTCTTTGACTACATATTAGTATCAGAAGTAGATGAGTGGGTAGAAGGATTAAAGATAAGTTAACTACAAATACTTAAAGTGATTTAAGCAAGAAGGGCTTACTAGTACCTCTCTTATCAAGAGGTCACATACAACAAGTCAGCTGACCTCTGGTCTGGGACCTCCATCTTTACATCAAGGTCTTCCACCTTGACCTCTCTGTCCTTCTTCTACCATCCTCAGCCGGGCAGTGCCTCTCCAAATATGGTTGCAGCAGCTCCAAGTACAGCATCCTCAGCAGAATCGACTTCACAGGGAGGAATAAAAGGGAGGCAAAACCTCCTATATATCCTCCTCCTTATTTCACCAGAGAGGAAAATCTCTCCCCAACCTTTCAGCACACCTTCCCTGATAACCTCAACTGGCCATGCGTGGGTCATATGCAGCAACCTCTAAATCAAGAAGAATAATATTGTCTGGGTGAAGACTTGCCCAGGGCTGAGCTCATCTTTTCTGAGCACAGTCCCTCAATGCTCAACTTCTATTAGAGAGAAAGAAGTTCCAGTAGGCAACACCCAAGTGTACCATAGACTGGGCCTAAGAAAAAGGGAAGACGGAATAGAGACCTCTCTCTGCCTGCTCAGAGTGTCTCACATCCTCCCTCAATACTCCTTTGTCCACCCCCGCCTGACTGACTTTCTAAAGCTCTGCTTGCCCCCTGTGGCTCCAAGTTAAAAAACCCAATATGGCGGTGCCAAATGCTGAACCACATTCTGCAGCAGGTCATTCTAGGCTGACCTTACCTGAGCTGATCTGCTCTGTGCTGCCTTGTCCTGCCTTTCTCTGTCCTTCTTGCCTCTTCACCTTTGCCCAAGCTTCCTCCATTTTTTCACCAAATTATATATTGTAAACATAGAAGGCTGAGTTTGTTCCCACTTTTCCCAATGGGTCCGGCCTAACCAGTATTCTGTTGCTTTTCTGAATTCTTACAGTAAAAAAAAAAAAAGCCTGCGGAAGAGTAGCCTGCTTATGGAAAAGTGCACATATCATACGTATACACTGCTAAGTATAAAATCAGCACCCAGATCATATTTAATTTAGCTTTGAAACTTACTGCATCTTCTATCACTATGTAACCTTTCCTCTGTATGTTGTCTTCCTTTACCTTGATTGAGGGTAGGAACTCTGACTTACACCCTCTAAAATTATAATAAGTGCTCAATAAATACATGTATGTGGTTGCCCCTTGAACAACATGGGTTTGAACTGCCCAGGTCCACTTATACCTGGATTTCCCTCTGCCTCTGCCACTCAAGACAGCAAGATCAACCCCTCCTCTTCCTCCTCCCCTCAGTCTACTCCATCTGAAGACTAGGATGAAAACCTTCATGATGATCTACTTCCATTTAAGAGTTAATATATTTTCCCTTCCTTATTACTTTCTTCATAACAGTTTCTTTTCTCTATTTTTCTCTACTAGCAAACAATGTCAATATTTTCACAATTGCTCTCTACCTTAGTGCTAAAAAAGAAATATGAAAACTGAAGAATGGCAGCATAGCATTGCAGACATTTTCCCAAAGAATAGGCACAGATCATTAACGGTACACAAGATATGGTTAGGTCTAGCATTGCCCATATGGAATGGCAAAATAAAACTAATTAATTTGGTTATTGGTTAATCCCTTTGGTTACTGAATATGTGGTACATAGATATGTCATTAGATAGCATTCATTCATACAGTGAGGAAACTATTCTACTTTCAATTTTTTTCTATTCACTACTTAGATTAAAGAGGAAATCTATTTGGTATTGGTGTGTCTTTAACATTTTAAAATACTACTAATTGCCTGTTTAAAAAGCTCTATAGAATCACAATCTTTGCAGGCAGCAGTATCTAGAAAAAATTAATATTATCATATTTTTATGGCAACCTTATTCTGGCAAGAGATACATACAGCTTTTCTAATTTCAATGGTGATAGTGTTTCATTTTTTAAAGAATTATGAAAAAGAAGTGAGCTCAATTAAAGAAAAATTGTAAGAAAGGAATACACATGACATGCTGATATTGCAAAACAAGTGATGGTGTTACTTGAGTGACAGATGTTTGATAGTGTGACATAAATGGTAGTCAAAAGAAGATGGAACTGGGATTCAGAAACACCCTCATCCTCAAGCAGTAACTGCAAGAGCCAGCGGGCCTAGTTTCCTTTCCTACCCAGGCAGGTGCTACATGCAGTGAGTTTGTCCTGATGGAATGAAGTGTAGTGGGCATTGCAGTTAACTCCCAAAATTCCATCCCACATCATTTTAGGCTAAGAGCAAAAAGTCAGTTGGCTTATAGCATTTCCTTGGTGATTGATTTTGGCCTAAGACGAGGCAAGTGTGATCTAATTTAGTCCAATCAGGTGAACAGGAAGGGATTTTATACCATGGATTCGGAAAGTGGGCTTTCTCTTTCTCTCCTATGAATAAGAAAGGCTGTCACTCCAATTTCTCACGGCTGTCACCTTATAACCATCAAAGAAAGGATTGCGGGCTGAAGGCAAAGATGAAGACACCAGCATGGCGAGATGAAGAGGATAGGACCTTGATGGCATAGCTGAGAAGTTTCTCATTCTATGCTTAGGTCCTGACCTACTTCTCCACTTCCAGTTACAGGAGATAACCTTCCCTCATTAAGTCAGCTTGAGCTGGGGTTTTCTGTTACTGCTATGGTCCAAATGTTTGTGTAGTCCCCCAGATTTATAGGTTGAACCCTAACCACCAATGTAATAGCATTAGGAAGTAGAGCCTTTCGGAGGTGACTAGATTATGAGGGTAGAGCTGTCACAAATGGGATTAGTGCCCTTTTAAAACAAATCTCAGAGAAATGCCTTACCCCTTCTACCATGTTCAGGCACTGCAAGAAGGTACCATTTATGAACCAAAAAATGGTTTGCAAGACATTGAATCTGCTGGTGCCCTGATCTTGGATTTCCCAGCCTCCAGAACTGTGAGAAATAAGTTTCTGTTGTTTATAAGCTACCCAGTTTACAATATTTTGTTACAGCAGTCCCAATGGACTAAGTTATGCACAGCTCAAAGCCCCTACTAATCCTTAACTTTTTGAGGAGTCCCAAAGGAGCTGGATATCCTGCCTGATTCCAGTTAATGACACAGAGGTGAGAGGAGTCAAGCAGATGAATCTATAACCCTGGCTCAGGTGATGTGTGGCTTTCTTCACACCTTTCAGTAGGAATTTATGCCATTTGGCTTCCAATTTCTGACTCTCCTTTCAAGACAGCAATGCAAATAGGTGGTGCATTCAAATAACCCAAAGGGATGATGATGCATTTTCCTGGGATTCTAGGTCCTAATCCACCAATACTGCCCTCAGGCCTGCATGAAACATCATTTGAAATTGAAAGTGGGACACTGACACGCCTCCTCCTAGTCCTGCTATCTTGTTCCACCACCTTGGGGCAATGAATAGTTGCCCTCTCATCCCTTTGCATTAATCTTTGTCACCTAAAACCTCTAAAAATGTCATCAATCTGCCTCCTCGTTTTTCTCTTCAGACTAAATCCTTTTAGTCCATTCTTATAAGTATTATTTCTAACTTTTAAATTATTATTTGACTCCAATCCAGATCAGACAGTGACCAAGATCCTCTACAGTTAAAACTCCTTCTATTACATATGGCTATAATAAGGCCTGAAAGAGACTGGATTTGGGAAACTACACTTTGTGAGTATAAACTGAGTGAAGCACAAGCGTAAGGTACCATGACTGAAGAGAGAAGGAGTTCAATTATGCTCACCACTTTTTTTCGGTTGGACTGAACTGTCATTTCAGCTACTCTTGTTAAACTGGCTGCTCTTGCAGGGCTGGTGTATTAGAAAAGCCATAGCCTAATTAGGAAACCTCTGCTCTCAGCTCAGCTCTGCCACTAGCTAGAGCTACCTGTGTGTGATCTTGAGCAAGTAACATTCCTGACCTAGGCCTCTCTCCGTTTCCACCAAAATTATGTGACCTAATGGCAAAAATGAAGTGATCAGCAGCCCATAGACTGAATCAGAGAATATTCTAGGGTTACAGACCAAGTCAAGGCAAGCAGTGATTTGAAAGGGTAGGATTTTGTTTGAACGTTTTTCCTTCTTGTCTCTTAGTGGCTTCACATTCAGGCTGCTTCATCAGACTCCAGCCAGGTTTGTCTTCCTCCTTTTCCAGGGAGAGAACACGGGGCCCATGCAAGAGACTTTCCCTTTGATATCTCAGTGGTGTGCTGGCACATGCTATAGACCTATGACTCCCCTTACATGCATAATAAAATAGGCTTCCAGGGAAGGAACTCTCAGCTGCAGGGAGCAGTCCTAGATAGAATGGAATGAGAAGCAGTGACTTTAAGATGACCATTGTGTGTGCTATATGTAGCAAGGTACCACGTTCCTGGACAACATTCACCAGGCCTTTCTGTGTGCTTGGCCTTATTTAACCCTCAAGGCAAATCTGCCAGGGAGATGTCACGAGCAGGGCATTCAACTTGCATGCACGCATATGACCACACCAGTTGTAAAAATATCAAAATACTTCTACGACAGCTGGCAAATAGCCTCTACCCCAAACCCTGAGTGCCCTTTACTTTCTTGGCCCCAGCAAGTAAAAGATGTACCTGAGCATGAAGTGGGACTTCCAGAAGCCAACTCTAGTGCTGACAGCATCTGTTATTGTTAGTGCTTTGCTTTCATTGATTATTTTCAATATCATATTTTATGCACAGTGCATAGAATATATAATTATATAGGTCAGGGGTCTACAACAAAGTTTAGTTGTTTACCTATGGAAGTAATGATGAATGGATAAATACAATGTGGTATAAATGAATCCATAATGGAATATTATCTGGCCATGAAAAGGAATGAAGTACTGATGCATGCTACAACATGGATGAACCTCAAAAAATTAGGCTACATGAAAGAAGCCAAATATAATGGGCCATGTTTGTATGATCCCATTTATATAAAATATCCAGAACAGGCAAATCTAGAGACAAAAAAAGTGTTTGCCATGGCCTGGGGGTGGGAGGACAGCTGAATGGTATGGAATTTCTTCCGGGGATAATGAAAATGTTCTAAAACTTATTTGGGTGATGGATGCATAACTGTGTGAACATACAAAAGCTCATTGAATTATATACTTTAAGTGGATGAATTGTATGGCATATGAATTAAAGCTGTTTAAAAGATTACAGGATAAAATGTCCATAAATATTTACTAAGTTTAAAATTATATATATATATGCACACATATGTACCATCGCATTAACATATTATGTACACTATACCAAAAATACAGAAACTAGACTTTTATAGGCTGAAATGAAAAATAAATAGAAGTTTTCATATTTTCTGCCTGTAACCCAGTGGATTGCTTTTGGAGACCCCTGCTCTAGAAGCAGCAGTAGAGGCTCAGAAAATTTGCAGAACCCATCTCTTCACATTGCCTTTGCTCTTTCTAGCACAGCATACAGATTCCAGGGCTTCTCAGAGGTTGAGGAAAGACAGAGAACATGGCCATTTTTTGATGCTCACAATCAAGAAAGAAATGCCAAAAATGGGATTAAAATATCAAGAACTATTTAAATTGTTTACATTTTTAGAATTAAGGCTTTTGACAGAAGAGAATGCTATACAATCATTCTATTCACAAGGTAATTAGAGCTTTCCTAGAAAAAATTAATTCAAAGCACACGAAGGCAGTGGGGTGTGGTTACAGAGAACAACTGGAAGGTTGTGTGTTAATCTCTTCATTCTCTCCAGTCAGTCTCTGGGGGAGTCTGTGCACAACCTCATTTGGTGATGGCATTTGAGGTCCCAGTAAGTGCGGAAGCCAAACTAAATCAACCCTGGGCTCCTGCTGTGTTGGCAATATGGACCCTGTGCTTCAGGGCAGAAACAGGAGAGCTAGAGAAGGGGGCAGGGGAAGTGAGTGGCCTGCAGAACCCCCTTTTCTGCCTGCAAGCAAGCATTCTGCAAGATTGCTTGTCTTTCACCAACAACTGTAATTGGAAAGCAAAGGAAAATGAAAGAAGGTTGTAGGAGGAGCCACCAGTTCAAATGGGAGGAGGATTATGAAGTCTCCCAGAGGCAAGGCAACTCATTAATTCACAGCTGGCAGGATGCTTCCCGTCGAAAGTTGATATTAAGAAAAGTTCAGTTCTTAAAAATGTATTTCATTCATGTGGATTTTGAAATTATTTTTTGAAAAAAAAATTAGTTCTTTTCCTGTTCTGATAGCATGCCCAGGAAACAAGATGGTTTCTGTTTTGGGACAGATGATTCTGGAAAGATGTTAGAAATATAGTACATTGAAACAAAATCTTCCAGTATCATTAACCTACACCTAGTGTTAAGCCCTGTCTTTTTTACAATGTTGCGGTCTCAGTAAATGGTTGATAAATAACTTCAGTACATTCATCAAATTATTTTTGGTTGTTTCTAGATCCAGAGGCCAGGAAAATGTCAGTGGAAAGCAGCTAGCATGAAGACCCCACAGTGTTCCTCCCTCTAGTAGTCTGGTATTATTTGGAGCTGAGATGCTGGCTAATATGGTTAGGACATTTCTCCCCTCCAAATCTCATGTGAGAATTTGATTCCCCGTTTTGGGGATGGGGTCTAGTGGGAAGAGTTTTGGTCATGATTGGGAACCCCTCATAAATGGCTTGGTGCCCTGCTCACAAGAACGAATGAGCTCTCACTCTACTAGTTTACTGGAGAGCCGGTTTTTTAAAGAGCCTGGCATCTCCCCCACTTTCT